>NC_000001.11:58190198-58341713 GCF_000001405.40 Homo sapiens
AGTACTCTTTGCAGACTAATATATGCCAGATATAAGAAAGAATCCTGCTGTTCTCACATTGGGTCAAAGATGGAGAAAGAAACCCCTGACTGACTGTACTCCACCACTCTGAACTTCAAGGGGCTACTGTGGGGTTCCTGACACTGACAACACCTGTCCCACGTGGTGAACCAGCTCACCTTCCCATCCAGGCAGCAGTCCAGCCTATCCCCACTTCTCTAATTCTTGATGTCAAATAGGTTACACTCTGACTAGTTTCATGCTAGCAGTCTGTCATGCACATTGTGTGGATGTTGGCCACGGGTTCTCTCTTTCTGTCTCCTTTCCTGAATTCTTCTTTTTTTAAACAAACCACTCCAACTAGAAAGAGCCTGATTACCATCCATTGTCTCTTTGCTGGGAAAATATCAGGTTAAAAAAATAAATAAATAAGATCTAGCACTCTCTACCCAAAAGTTCTCAGGGGGCAGAGCCTCTGGGGCTTTGTTATAGCTGTTTTTACACTCCGTGTCATGTCTTTGAGGCAGAATGAAAAGGGACACTGCCAGGAAACATCTTTGGAAATGCTATAAATAGCAAATCGGCAAGACCGGGGAACAAAAGAGAAGCGCAGCCAGTGTAATTAGTTCACTTACTGAGCAAGTTGACTATTCCAAGGCGGAGAACCGTGTTCTAGCTGATGAGACTGTGGGACTGGGGAGGGAGGAAAACTCGACTTCCCGCATGGGTGGAGGAAAGGGGACACATGCTGTGACACCCAGGCCCCAATGGGCTCTCACAGTCCCCATCCCAGGTTATCAACAATAGCCCACAGAAGAACGTGGGAAGCCAAGGGTCCAAGGCCTGAGTATATGTGAAATGTGAGAGGGAAATCAAGGAGCTTGAGGTTGGAAAGCAAACAGAAATACAAGATACATGGAGGATGGTGTAAGACTCAGGTCATCACAGGAAGGGACTGAGAGATCTTCTTAGCCAGAGTTTTCCAAATAATAATGACAATAATATTAACTAATATTTACTGAGCACTTACTATGACTATAAACACATTTAGTTCTTACAATAACTTTCTTAAGGTAAGTACTGTTATTATCCCCATTTTACAGATGAGGAAATGGAGGTTTAGAAAAATTAGGTACCTTGCCCAAAGGTACATCTCTAGTTGCAAACTTTTTAAAGCAGTGGAACATTTTTCCTTTTTTTCAATCGGAATCCCAATAATATAAACAGAGTAGTGAAGGAAAGAATCCCGGACCACTGAATTCCAGCACACCAGAGAACTCAACTGGAAAACCATTCCCTGAGTGCAAGCTGAGGCCGAGAGAGGGGAACAGGACTGTCCCAGGTCACTGGACTGGCTAACCGTGAAGCTGGAGGACACAGGTCTTCTGGAGCTCATCCAGGGCTCTTTCCAAAATGATGCTTTGCAATCGAGGGGCCACTCCATTTAAAAGTTTCCCCTTTGAACCACCACTGGACTGAGACCTTAGTTCTGTGCATATAACAACTACGACACCCACCGGCTGCTGTAGATCTGTATCCCCTTTGCCTCCTAACTTGTCTGTGAAATGTTGAGAGTAGAGTCTGTATCTTTGTGTCTTCGCAGGTGCCTAGCACAGAGGCTGGTACACAGAAGGACCTCATTAAAGTTTATTAAAGGAATGAATGTTGTGATGGGTGGAGGAACAGATTAATTAATGCGTAAAAATATGTGACCACCTGCAATAAAAATACCACTGTGGAGAACACAAAGTATTTTCATGTCTAACACCACCTTTGCTTTGCAAAACCAGCTGAAAGGGAGTATTATTATTCCCATTTTACAGCTGAAGGACCTCAGGCATTTAAAAGGAAGATTCTTTCTCAAAGGAACACAGCTAGGAAGCCAAGGAGCTAAGACTGCACTTAGATGTTCCGACTCCTAAGAATCAATAGCTAAGGAAAAATACTGCATGATTCCAGTTATAGAAGGCACCTAGAACAGTCAAACTCATAGAGATAGAAACAGAAAGAAGATAGAATGGTGGTTGCCAGGGGCTGGCAGGGCTAGGAATGGGGAGATGGATTTAAATTATTTTTAATTTTATATATTTAGGGGGTACAAGTGCAGATTCCTTACATGCATATACTGCCTAGTGGTGAAGTCTGGGCTTTTAATGTACCCATCACTTGAATAGTGAACACTGCAAACAATAGTTAATTTTTCAACCCTCACCTCTCCCCCACCCTTCCATCTTTCATAGTCTTCAATGTCTATTATTCTACTCTATGTGTCCATGTGTATCATTGTTATCTCCAAGTTATAAGTGAGACATGTAGTATTTGATTTTCTGTTCCTGAGTTATTTCACTTAGGATAACGGTCTCCAGTTCCATCCATGTTGCTGCAAAATACATGATTTCATTTGTTTTGTGGCTGAATAGTATTCCATGTGTGCGTGTGTGTATGTGTATATATGTATATATGTGTGTGTGTGTATGTATGTCTCGCATTTTCTTTATACAATACTTCATTGATGGACACTTGGTTTGATTCCATATTTTTGCTATTGTGAATAGTGCTGCAATAAATATATAAGTGTAGGTATCTCTTTGATATAATGATTTCCTTCCCTTTGGGTATATACCCAGTAGTGGGATTGCTAGATTAAATGGTATTTTTAAATAAGTACAGAGTTTCTGTTTTGCAAGATGAAAAGACTTCTGTGGATGGAGGGTGGTAATGAACAAAACAATGTGAATGTACACTTAGAAATGATTAGGATGGTAAATTTTGTGTTATTTGTATTTTACCAATTAAATTTCTTTTAAAAATTGATATCTAATATTTATTATTTGCTATGGTTTGAATATGGCTTGTTTTCCCCACCAAATCTCATGTTGAAATTTAGTCACTAATATTGGAGGCGGGGCTTAATGGGAGGGTATTTGGGTCGTGCGGGAAGATCCCTCATGAGTAGATTAGTGCCCTCCCTGGGAAGAGGGAAGTGAGTAAGTCTCACTGTTTCATTGAGAGCTGATTGTTTAAAAGAACCTGGTCCTTTCTCACCGTCTTTTGCTTCTGTTCTCACCATGTGATCTCAGCACGTTCTGGCTCCCCTTTGCCTTCTGCCATGAATGGAAGCAGCCTGTGGCCCTCACCTGAAGCAGATGCCAGTGCCATGATTATTGTACAGCCCACAGCACCCTGAGCCAAATAAACCTCTTTTCTTTATAAATTACCTAGCCTCTGGTAGTCCTTTGTAGCAATACAAAACAGACTAAGACATTATTCGTCTACTATGTGCAACACTACACTTTATCTTTTTTTATCCTCACAACAATTCTATGAAATAAGTACTATTATTATCTCTATTTACAAATGATAAAACTAAGTTACGGCCAGGCGCAGTGGCTCACGCCTATAATCCCAGCACTTTGGGAGGTCGAGGCGGGTGGATCACCTGAGGTCAGGAGTTCAAGACCATTCTGGGCAACATGGTGAAACCCCATCTCTACTAATAATACAAAAATTAGCCAGGCATGGTGGCGCACGCCTGTAATGCCAGCTGCTCGGGAGGCTGAGGCAGGAGAATCACTTGAACCAGGGAGGCGGAGGTTGCAGTGAGCCAAGATCGCACCATTGCACTCCAGCCTGGGCAACAAAAGCAAAACTCTGTCTAAAAAAAAAAAGAAAAGAAAAACAAAGAAAAACAGAGTTACAAAGAGGTAAAGTAACTAAGTAACTTAGCCAAAGTCACATAGCTAGTAACACAAGAACCAAATTCAAAGGGTCTGCTCCAGCCACTACAATAAATGAACAAAGGGAAGAAGAAGACGTTGGATAAAGAATTTGCTGCTGCAGCAGAAGTTAAGAGATTAGCCATATGCACATATCTCTGTCCAAATCTGTATCTGTATTAAATGCCTCATAGTCATTCAACTGGGGCATCTGAAGAAATGTTTTTATTTTAATTTACTTCTCAGACTAAAAGACAGTATTCCGGTTAAGGGAAGTGCATATACCCAGAGAACAGTAGCTTCATATTCAGCTAGGACCTGAGTTCAAATTCTGACTCCAGCACTGTTTACCTATGTGATATTTGCTATTTCAACTGGCCTCTCTGAGCCTATAAAATACAAATATTTACATTATGATGAACATAGTTATTATGAACATTAAATGTGATAATCTGTAAAATCAATAGTTTCATACCTGGCTCAATAAATGTTAGTTCTCATTCTCATAAAAACAAGTTAAGGCATAAAAATATCTTGTCCTCAATTTTTAAAACTTATCTAGCACATTCTTCAGCCTGTGGGTATAAGGATGTTTTAACACTTCTGGAAAGATTAATGTTTGTAGTGCTTTTCAAGATATACATGGTAAAATATTTCTCAATAAGTCGAAAGGTGGTCATATGAAAGAAACTCTCGTATTTATAACCTAAATCCACTCTACTGCTGACTGCTGACTAACCCTTTCTGTGCTAAATGGCACTTTTATAGGTTCTGTGTATCAGCTTCCTGCAACCTTTCATTCTTCAAATTGGATAATTCCAACTCCATTCATCTTTCTCAACGTTCCATGGTGTCATTCTAGCTAGCCATGGTGTTGTTGCAGACAGAGCCCCAAGAATCTAATTGGGACTGAATAGTATCAGAAGATAATATTAAATTGGAATACATCCTGATTATTGTCCAGGCACAGCCTGGAATACTGTTCAACCCGTGGCCATACTAGTCTCTTGATCCTTTTCTAGGATCAAGAGGAAATGATGTACTTTCTATGTCTTTGTCTTTCCTTCAACTATTGAATAGCCTAACTCTAAGACATCAGGAAGAATACAATTTTGATTCACACTTGAATCTTGTTTCAAGGATCCTACTTGCTAGTGGGAGAGATAAGAAAAGGGCAAAAATATGAAGAGGAAACTTAGAAGGGCCACCAGGAGAGAGAGAGAGAGAGACAGAGAGACAGAGAGAGACAGAGAGAGATCATGCACTGCTTATCTCACCGCCTAGCATATGGCAGGTGTTCCAAGTAAGATGGCTGCTGTATTTGTTGAGCCCAAAAATGAATGCAACGAGAGATACTTCGAGGAAGAAGGGCAGAAATCAAGACAGCTCCAGAAGAAAGATAACTGACTTAAGGATGAGCAAGAATTTGATACCAGAAGTAGATGATAGAATTGCAGAGATGGGTACAATGAGTGCAAAGACATAGAGGCACAAAGACAAAGTGACACAGAGAGGGCAATGTTTTGAAGGAATAGAGGTCTGGCAAAAAAATGGGAAGAAGAAGAGATAGAGAAAAAAGGAAAGATGTAAGAACAGACACACAGGATAAAGGACACACCTGTTATTCACTGAGAGTTCTCTGGAGAGATTTATCTTCCCTAAAATAGAGGTAATTTGTGGGACACTAGCATAACTCATTCATTAACTTACTCATCTATTCAACAATATATTCTAAGTATATGATTCAGGACTGGAATATAGCAAATATGAGTCAGAAGATACAGTGCCTGTGTTCAAGTTACTTAGAGTCTATAAAGTGCAACACATATGGAATAACAGCGATATTAAGAGCTAATATTTATTGAATATGTGTTATGTGCCAAGCACTAAACCATATTATTTTATTCAAATTTTACAATAGCCCTAACAGGAAGTATTACTGCTATATCTATTGACATGAACACACTAAAGCTTATAAGTGTTTAGTGACTTTCCCAAGCTCATAAAGCTAGCATGCAGTGAAGTTGAGATTTTAATCAAACTCAGAAACTATCTGACTCCTTTACCCTTAAGAATTATTCTCTCCAGCCCCTAAACTGTAGTATGCTCTTCACAGAGGTCTGGGCTCAGAGAAAAAGTAAAGGCATGAGTGGTTACTTCTACCTAGGGTCAGGGAGTATTGTAAAAGTCTTCACAGAGGAACTGAGTTGAATCTCAAAAGATACAGATAGCTATTCAACCAGCAGATGGAAATGCAAGCTGAGAAAGGTATTACAAGCATAGGAAGTAGCATGTGCAAATGCAGGAGGTGAAAAGGCAGCCTTGTGTGTTCTGGAGCCATAAGAAATTTAGAAAAGTTGGAGCACCAAGTATGAGGAAGGGTCCCAGGAGGAAACAGGCTGGAGAAGCAGGGCAAGATCAAGAAGGCTTCTGCCTGTCATACTATATAACTTGAGTTTTTTCTTAGAAGCTAAGCAGCTGCTGAAATAGTTGGAAAACAGCAAGATGACAAATACACTTCATATACTTCTGGTGACAGTATGGCAAGACTGTAAGCTAGGGGACAGGTTATCTTGGAGACTACTACAGTATTCCAGGTATATTAATCCATTTTCACACTGCTATAAAGAACTGCCAGAGACCAGGTAATTTACAAAGGAAAGAGACTTAATCGACTCACAGTCCCACATGGCTGGATAGGAGGCCTCAGGAAACTTAAAATCACAGCAGAAGGTGAAGGAGAAGCAAGTGCCTTATTCATTAGGCAGCAGGAGAGAGGAGAGAGCCCAGGGAAAACTGCCACTTATAAACCATCAGATCTCATGAGAACTCCCTTACTACCATGAGAGCAGCACGGGGGAAACCACCCCCATGATCCAATCATCTCCCACCAGATTCCTCCCTGACACATGGGGATTACAATTTGCGATGAGATTTGGGTGGGGACAAAGAGCCAAACCATATCATCAGATATGGCAAAGAACATTCCTTTTCCTCCTGTGCACACAGCTAAACTACATGTTTCAGCTTCCCTTTAGATGAAGCCCATGTGACTTAGTCTTAATAAAATGAGGATGGGAATCATGCAAATTACTTCTAGGTTCATATTCTGAAAACCTCCCTTGAGATTCTTACAGTCTCCATTTCTTATCTTCTAGCTATATGCAGAGGAGATGCTGCTAGATGGTGGAGTCATGCAATAGAAGGAACCTGGGTCCCTGAATTATAACGTGGAGCAGAAACCCCCTGCAAGCTTCAGTGGCCTACAACATGAATGAAAAGTGAGGTTTTATTATATTAAACCACAATAAACCCTGACAAGATCTATTGAAAGCCTGGACCAGAACAGTGAGAATTAAATAGAATAGAAGATGGATATAGCAGATATGCAGAAGGTAAAATAGACAAGACCTGGTCATAGGTTGGATCTGAGATATCCATTTTCTCTTTATGGTATTAGAAGAAACAAACATTCAGTAGGAGAGTTACACTTTTTTTTTTTTTAAGACAGAGTCTTGCTCTGTCACCAGACTGGAGTCCAGTGGTGCCATCTCAGCTCACTGCAACCTCCATCTCAAGCGGTTCTCCTGCCTCAGCCTCCCGAGTGGCTGGGGCTACAGGTGCGCGCCACTACACCCAGCTAGTTTTTTTTGTGTTTTTTAGTAGAGATGAGGTTTCACCATGTTGGCCAGGATGGTCTCGATCTTTTGACCTCATGATTCGCCCACCTCAGCCTCCCGAAGTTCTGGGATTACAGGCATGAGCCACCATGCCCAGCGAGAGTTACACTTTTTTTTTTTTTTTTGAGGACAGAGATAGAACATACAAGAAAAGCATGATCAAGACCCTAGCAAAATTCAAAACTACATTTCAGCTGTACCTATTCCTTAATTTCTACTTACCAGCTTCTGAGAAAATAATTGTCAAGCAAACTCTCACTTGGAAATTGAGCCCCAGGCATAATGTTAGTTCAACATGAATGCATTAATATTGCTTTGTACTTGAAAGCTGTAAATGTAAATCTATTCCCATCATCACAAGTTTGATTGAGATTCCCAAGTACAGTAGTTGACAGTTCCAATAGTACCAGCCATGAAGTGACTCTTCAAAGAAGGATCTGTCAGCATCATATCATGGTAGGCAGGACTAAGCAGAAATGCCACCATTTCACTGAATCCCTTATCATTGCTGATAGAGTTCATCAAGAAGTCACGACAGCTGCATCCAGGAGAGAGAAAGTCAGAGTACAGAGAGCTGTCCCAGCATCATAGCAGCATATCCCTTGAGGAACTCAAAGCCACCTTTTATAGCAAACAACAATTGTTTATTAATCTTCACACATAGTGTAAGCGGTATTGTGCAGCCCTGGAAATAGTCAATGGAAAGAGTATTAAGGTGTAAAGTCAGAAGACATGGGTATAAGTCTTAATCACGTAATATTTATTCCTTTTTTCATTCAAAAAGTGGCTGGGACAGGTAGCAGATAGGCAAAGGTGAATAAGACAGATTCATTGTGGATAGGCTGTGTCATCAAGATCATTAGTTGTATGACTTTAGGCAAGTCCTTGAACCTCTCTGGGACTTGGGCTCACAAAAAAGGTCATTACATATTGGCTGTCCAATGTCCATGCCTTCCTTTGGTACATCAGTACATTTTCCTCTCGTAACCAACCTCTTCTATATTCTCAGTCATCTATTTCTGATAGAATTGATTCAGATCTTTGACTCCAAGATTAGACATATGACCCAGCCTGGCCAATTAGGGATTACAGTTCCTTGGCTATAGTGATTGGTTCAGGATTGAGGGCAAGACTCAATCCATTGAGAGGCAGAACTTTTGTTTGTACTGTAGGAAAATCAAAAGCTCTCTTATTTCTGCTAGCTTGGATGAATTTAAAGGATACATGCTGGATGGCCATGCGCAGTGGCTCACATCTGTAATCCCAGCACTTTGGGAGGCCCAGGTGGATCACCTGAGGTCAAGAGTTCGGGACCAGCCTGGCCAACATGGTGAAACTTCATCTCTACTAAAAATACAAAAAATTAGCTGGGCACGGTGGCGCATGCCTGTAGTCACAGCTACTGGGGAGGCTGACGCAGAAGAATCGCTTAAACCTGGGAGGCAGAGGTTGCAGTGAGCCAAGATTGCACCACTGTATACCAGCCTGGGTGGCAGTCCAAGACTCAGTCTCAAAAACAAAAAACAAAAAACAAATGTACTGGAACTGCCTGCAGTCCTATTGATCCCATAAGAAGCTATGGAAAGAGGCAGCCTCAAAAACAGGTGAGCCAAGAATGTGAAAAAGACTGGTCTTGATGATGTCTTGTAAGGTCCTGGCTGGCTATTTAGTTATGTGAACTCTCCATTACCATTTTGGCTTAAGTCAATTTCAGTCAGGTTTCTTAAAACTTCCAATAAGAAGAGCTCTAGTTTATATATTCCTCATTCATAAATTGGCAGGAATAACAATGTCTGACCTTTCTAATCTCATAAAATTCTAGTAAGATAAACTTATGATCTGTACTAGCTTTGTAACCATGGGCAAATTACTTAATCTCTCTTTTTTTAGTTCCTTTTTTGTAAAATGAGGATAAGAGAACCAGCTTATAGGATTGTTCTGAGGATTAAAGTAGTTTAACAATGTCTACTTCTCAGAACAGTACCTGACATGTCATTTAAATATTTACTATAATGCTACTACTAGTACAACTAATAGTATATTTTTAAATTATATTTAAAAGAAAATAACATTGTTATCAAGAAGGAACTTACTGTAATTAGAATTGCCTCTTAAAGTCATGTGTTTCTCATCACCTTACATTAATTACGGTAGATTGATTGCTACAACACACAACCTTGAATTTTCAGTGGCTTCACACCACCAAATATTATTTCTTGTTCATGTCTCACAATAGAATGCAAGTCAGTGGGATGAAGAAAACTCTGCTCCACTCAGTCATGCACGGACCCAAGTTTCTTCCAGGTTATGGCACTGTCCTCCTCTAAGCCCTAGAAGTGTTTTTCTTTCAGCCAAATGACGGGGAAAGAGAGCAGGGGCGGAAGTGGAGGTTCTTCATGCCAGGCCTGGAATTTGGACATCACTTCCACTCATATTCCATTGGTCAGAACTCAGATGCACAGAGACACAGAGACTTAGAAATTAAGTTTAGCTGTGCCCGAATGCAGTGGGGATCACAGACACTGGTGAGCACTGGCAACTCCTGACACATTTGAAAAGTATTCAAGGAGTGACAAAATGACCATCTCTCAGGGACTCGAACTGTTGCTGAGACTCAAAATGATGGCATTATGAGAGATGAAAAAGCACTTAAGGAACACCAAGTCCAATCAGCTCCCTACATGAACTTGCCCAAGGTCACCCAGATAAATGTTGGCAGAGCTGTAACTAGAACCTACTTCTAACTCCCATGCCATTCCTTTGTCCACCCACTCACCTCCTCGCTTAGTTGTCCTTTC
This sequence comes from Homo sapiens, assembly GCF_000001405.40. NCBI lineage: Eukaryota > Metazoa > Chordata > Mammalia > Primates > Hominidae > Homo > Homo sapiens. Next base: position 58,200,393 of record NC_000001.11, read on the forward strand.
CAAATCTAATACATTATTGCCTTTTTTGCTCCCTGGTTTAGCTAGTTTTTTGCCTTTGGAAGATAACTTATTACTCCTTTCACACAGATTACTTATCCAAGAATCTTCTTTACCTTATGCCATCTGCCTCCTTTCACAAAATGTGGGTTTGAAGGTAAGGAGACAACAAGGCAGAATGGTATGTGCCTCTACTCTTACCAAATTATCATGATTATATAAATCACTCAAGTAAGGTAAAATGCTGACTGCAGCACTAAAAACACTTGGCATATCTGGAAGGTGTAATTCAATTGATTTTTTTTACATTGTTTTTGCTTTAAGTGGCAGGTTCTTCAGTGGCAATGAATAAATGAAATGTGTTGTCAGTCAGCAAATCAAGCATTTCACCCAAAGAACCAAGCTCCACTAATATATTCACCTACTGACATGTGCAACCAAAACATGAGTTGTTTAAAACTAACTAGTATTTAGCCCAACTCAAACAATTATCATAACTACCAACAGAGGCTGTAATTTAGAATTTTGCCAATTTCTTTTCCAATTAGCTTGGTTTCATCTTTACTAGAGGTATGGACTTCCTCAGCACCAGTCACTACATATGAATAATGTAGTCTATTTTTGTTTGTTTTGTTTTTTTTTTTTGAGATGGAGTCTCGCTCTGTCGCCCAGGCTGGGGTGCAGTGGTGTGATCTCGGCTCACTGCAAGCTCCGCCTCCCAGGTTCATGCCATTCTCCTGCCTCAGCCTCCCGAGTAACTGGGACTACAGGTGCCCGCCACCACACCTGGCTAATTTTTTGTATTTTTAGTAGAGATGGGGTTTCACTGTGTTAGCCAGGATGGTCTCGATCTCCTGACCTCGTGATCTGCCTGCCTTGGCCTCCCAAAATTCTGGTATTTTGTTTTATTAATTAATTCAGTTGTCTCCTCTGAAGATTCAGGCAGCAAATAAGAAATTCCACTTGACAAGTGCCCTTTCAGAATACTGATCTCTGGACATAGCGCTCTTTCTAAGTTTTTGCCTCTGCTTTGCTGAATACCAAAGGTCCATAAACAGAAATGATGAATAATTCAACTGCCTCACCCCACGGGGAGAAAATATTAGGAAACACTGTCAAGTATGTCTATAATTCTGGAAGTTGACAAATGTACACTTAAAAGTAGATGAAGGACCCCAAGTCTCAGGGTTTCACAGAGAGTCTGTTCAAAATTCTGTGTCCACTGTTAGCTTTAGTCCCAGAGGAAGTTTGCAGAAAAAAGGCAAATTACCTTTTAGCAAGCACTGGGGGATTCCTGGCAGAATTCCATGAGGACTTTGAACTGATATCCGATCTCCTGCTTTCTCAAATTTCTCAATCTTTAAACATTTTCTCAACATTTCATGGGGAAGTCCAAATTTACCCCATTTTAAAATCTGGGACAAATTGTGTTTTAATTCTTTGTTTTCAAGGTAGGTACCCCTACCCTGAAATGGGAGGAGTGACTTGATGTACAGGTAACAAACCTGATAGGTAGCAGAGTATGGCAGTGAGGAGTGCAGCCTCTATAGCAACATCCAACCTACCTAATTCTGCTTCTATCAAACACTTCAGCAAGCTCCTCAGCCCCTCCATGCCCCAATTTACACAACGGTGAAATGGGGATGACAACAATCCCACCCACCTCACAAAATGGCTGTGAAGATTAAACAAGTTAATAAACATAAGAACCTAAAACACTGTTTGACACATAGAAAACACTTTATAAGTGTTAGCTTTAAAGACAAAAAAAAGACAATCTGGAAATTAGATGATAGCATTTAAGACTTCACAACAGTCAGAGTTGTTACTTAATCAATGCCTTCTGACTTTAATTGAATGTCTTTCCAAATAGCCATATATTATGATCAGTTGTCCCTTCTTAAATTATTTCTCCATTGGTTTAAGATAGTAATTGCCACTGAGTAACCCTCATGATGTAAGTATTATTTGCACTTCATAGACAAAACTGAGGCTCAGCAAGATAAAGTGCCAAGGTCACTGTAGCAAATTAAAGATGGTGTAACTTTTTTGACATTCTCCTGAGAGGTAGGATTTATTTCTCCTCCTCTTGAAGCTGAGCTGGTCTGTAACTGCTTTGACTAACAGAGCACAGCAGAAGTGATGCTACACTGGTTCATGGCTTCCCCACCTAAAAAATAAGAATTCTATTAATACCTGTCAATTTCTGTTTCACAAAGTTGTGAGAATCACATGAGTTAATGGACGTGAATGTGTTCTGTAAAATAGAAAACACTACACAGGCATTAGAAATTACTATCATTTGTACAAGCTAATTATACTTTATATTATTCTATAACAATAAAAATCACCTGCACTATGGGGTTGCTTTGTCGATATGTGTAATTGAGACTCTAGGGACCACCAAAAACAACATGTAGCACCCACACCTCCAAATCATTCTCCACAGGTAGGTTATGTCTCTGTGACAGCAAAACATCTGTTTGATTAAACTCAGCCATTTTCATTTACAATCACTTAAACCAATTGCTTAGTGCCACATGGGCCAAAAGAAAAGAGCACAGACAACCTGCTTTGCACCATTTGTTCCTGGGAAATCAAATGGAGAAATACTTTTAGAGCACTATTAACTGAGCATTGTGCTGGAGTCTTGGAAATTTAAAAAGGGAAAATCAGGTCAAGAAGATCCTGCCCTTAAGAGTTTAAAATCATGATGCAGAAAAAGGGGTAAGGGGAAGAGGGCAGCATCACTTAACAGAACCCCCAGTGGATGCTTTGGTAAAACTAAGGTTTTTCTGCCGTGTGTTCCTTAAATTTCCCATTCTATGATTATAAACTCTTAAGTAATGATTTGTCTTCAACCAAGACACAATTGTGATCAAACATTTTATCTGTTTTGGATTCACCATTAGGAATATCTGGGCTTTAAATTATTTAGGTCATCTCAGGATGGGTTTGCAACAAACCAAGACATAGACAACACCCTCATATTTCTCCTTTAAGACTTACTTCAGGGTTCCCTAATCTGGGAAGCCTTCCTTGATTTCTCTTCCCATATTCACCCAACTGTCTCCATACACATAAACACACACTGAAACATATGCTAACTCTTCTTTTTTCTGCCACTAAATCCTCTCCTTCTTTCTGTCATAGTGGTTCTCAAACTTTAGGGAGCATGAGAATCACTGGGAGACTTGTTAAAACACAGATTGCTGGCCCCAGCTTCAGAGTTTCTGATTTAGTAGACATGAATGGGTGGGGCCCGCATTTCCAAGTTTTCTGGTGGTGCTGATGCTGCAGGTCCAAGGATAGCACTATGAGAACTACTGCTATGTCATATAACATTGATCAAACTGCACTGCAATGATCTTTTTGCATGTCTCCCTCAGTCTAAAATGATGTATTTTGTGTTTATTGTGGCTCCCAGTTGACTATGTAGAGCTTTTTAAATGCAGGCATATGTCTTCAGTTTTATAAGCCCAGAACCTAACCCAAAGCCTGGCATATAGTTTATTGAACAAATAGCTAAATGAATGTTACATCTTGAGGTCAAAGAGCATGCATACAGAAGGCATTTGAGAAAAACTCAAGAGTTTAGCTAGTGGCATTAGAACATGGCCATGTATCTAACTGAACTAAGGACTTAAGACATTACCTGTAATAATTACCCCACTGCCTGGCCACAGAGCAAGCATCAAGTTCATTATGTGGCTCAGTTTTGAACTGCCATCATTTGATCACACCTATATGAACACACAACCTAGGATACAGAGAAAACCTGAAACCGAGTCATGAGAGAAAAGTTTGAAAGAATTGGAAATGCAGCTCTTGGAGAATGAGATTGGTTTGGTTGGGAGGGAGTTAAATAAAAGCTAGGTTGGCACAAAGAACTGTCATGAAAATAATAGAACCGAATTATTTGTCAGAGCCCCAGAGGGTAGAACTTAAATTCAAATTTCCTTTCGCAAATATGCATCTATGCCCCCTGCATCAAAACGCTAGTATTCAGAAATGAATCAGACACAGTCCCTACTGTGTTATGGCACAAAAATTTTAATCCAAGTGGCTTACTTGAGAGGTGTTCCCCAGAAGCACCAGTAGGGGGTAGAGAAGTGAGGCATGGAAGGGCAGAAGCCCAATACCAGGGGTGATGATACACAGATTAGCTCTGTGGGCAGCTGCAGCTCAATCCTATCAGAACCCCCAGGAGAGAATCAATAAAGTTCTTCAGAGTTGTCTCACCCAGGCAATGAAGAAGCTGAGGTATTTGTTCATCAATTCATTTTTGTAGTTGTTTGAAGGCTGCTCCTGGGGGACATTAATTCCCACGCATAAACTTCCAGCCTGCTGTATGTGCAGGCCAATGCATCAAGCAGCCTTTGCCAACATTACAGGATATGAATGAGGCACCAATGGCATCTGCTACACCTGTCTACAAAATGTGCCCATAAAAACAGAGAAGTTGAACATAAGCCGTCACGATGTGATTCCAACTAAGAGTTCCTATGAACCATCAAAATCTAAGGTTTACCATGATAATATTAATAACTAACATCAGCTTGTGTTACATATGTGATAGTATCAGTCTGGTAGCAGCTCTGTAATAGATATAAGAGCTATAATATTATAATAATAGTATTCATTTCACTGATGAGGTAACTGAGGTCAAAATGGTTGAAGTCACTTGCTCGAGGTCACACAGCAAGTAGGATTACATAGGAGCCTGCCGGGCCCCAATCCCAGGTTCACAGCTCTACAGCCAAGCAGCACATGCTAGAATTCTGAATTCACAGCCCATGGACAGACTTCCATCTGAGTGGGTTCACTCTGGACAACTCTTTCAGGCAAGACTTATTTTTTTTCTCTCACAGGCTCTGGTCTAATGACAGTACTATTCTATTCTGCAAAGATTGTGTTATTTTAATTCATTCCCCTTTCCCCAAATCACCACCCTCCTAAGGTCTTTTTACTCCATGGCTATGACCCGGTTTATTCCCACATCTGCAATAAACTCCAGTGTTCCTCTGCAAGAATGTGTGATTTTCAAACCACATGTGTCCCTGAAACTGCAGCTTGCTGCTAGTGTTCAAGGTCTTCTCACCCATGGCCCCTCAAGGCCCTGAGAACCTGTTTGTGATAGTTAAATATATAAAGTGGACCTAAAGTAGGTTTTAATTAATTCAACTGTTTAGCTCATTGAACTAAAAAATATCAAATTAAATGACTCCTTTGTAGCCGAGTGCTTTTGTTTTCACTGTTTTCCACTTTGCCAGCAATTGGGGCCAAACTATATGATTTCCCCAATGTTGTCATTAACATTCTTTAATTGAATGATGAATGCGCCAGCAAACCTGATGAACACTGGTCCATGAAAGTAGCCTTAAAAGACCAAGATTGTGCATAGGTGTAAGGAACAGTCCTACCCTCAAGGCCCTGGAACCCTGTCTGATGCTTCCTCCTTTTCTAAGGCAGAGCGGACCAATCTGTCCCAGAATCTGAGGGAACCCAGTTAGTCAATGCCAAGTTCATATCCTTTTCTGAGGCCAACTTGTGAAACTTTCTGAAACTGGCCAGCTGAGTATTTTTTTTTAATCATTATGGTTTTATTTGTATATATTACTTCTGTGAACCCCAAATATCTGAGACAGGTCTCAGTCAATTTAGGAAGTTTATTTTGCCAAAGTTAAGGACGTGCGCCCATGACACAGTCTCAGGACGTCCTGATGACATGTGCCCAGGGTGGTCGAGGCACGGCTTGGTTTTATACATTTTAAGGAGACATGAGACATCAACCAATACATGTAAGATATACATTGGTTCCGTCCAGAAAGGCGGGACAACTCTAACTGGGAAGGAAGCTTCCAGGTCATAGGTAGGTTGCATTTTTTTGAGTTTCTGATTAGGCAATCAGATATGCATTTATCTCAGTGAGCAGAGGGATGAATGAGTTTTGTCTGTCCTTTGTCCACAGGAAAATTCATTGGGAGGAAAGTATGCAGCTATTTTTAATCTCAGTTGCTATTTTTTTTAAGGAATAGAATGGGAGGCAGGTTTGCCCTAAGCAGTTCCCAGCCTGACTATTCCCTTTGGCTTAGTGATTTGGAGGTCCTGAGATTTATTTTCCTTTCACACTTCCCAGTGAGAATACTTTACCACTGTACTAACACTATGTTATAACCTCCCACAAATAATATATCTACCTGCTGCACAAGCTTCCCTCAATTTCTAGACAACATACCTTCCCAGATCTTGCTGTTTTTAGAGTAGTGAATAACACACTTCCAGATATAGAGTAGGTACCTGATAATTATTTGACTTACAACAACTACTCTGAGTTTAAGCTTTTATTGAGCATTGCTTTGCATTTGGTTAGTAGTTGTGAAAGACTGTAAAAATGGCCACAATCCTTGCAGTTGTTCATGAAGTTATGCTCTTTGCTATGTGATTTTGCAGCTCAAACAGTGACATCTATTTCTCTTTTCCTTATATCTGGGCTGGCTTTGTGCCTTTAATTGGCCAACTATATGCAACAGAAGTGATGATGAGGCTGTTTTTAGCCTAGAGGGCCTGCACACTTCTGCTCTCTCAGCACCCTGCCTCCACATGAGAACAAGCCTGGACTAGCCTAGTGGAGGATGAAGGGGCCACATAAAGCAGAGCTTGGGGAGCCAATTCATCTCAGCGGAGGCTCCAAACATCTGCTAGCACCCAGTCAAGATGAGAAAACTCAGCTGACTTGCCAACTAACCCTGCAGATACTTAAGAAAAGCCATCCTACATGAGTCAAGCCCTCCAGTTAACTCACACTGTAATTAGCAAGTTAAATATCTGCTGCTATAAAACACTAAGTTTTGGAGTGGCTTGTTATGCAGCAATAGCTAACTGGTACAGCGGTTTTCAAATGTAGTGAGGACGGAGGTTAGAGTGGAAGTATGAAGGAATCTCCAGGGTAGGAAAACATCTATGCATGGTTGGGAAAAGAGAAAGTTCCCTAGGTGATGCATGCCCATTAATCCCACTTCTCCTACTGCTGCTTAGAAAGCAATGTGCTCAGCAAGCAATGTGCTCAGCAGCAAGTTGCTGCTTAGAAAGCAATGTGCTCAGCATTGGGAATATACAGCCTAGAAGTCAGAGTCCCTACTTTTAAGTTATTTATGGTCCAGTGAGGGCAACTGTGATCAGCCATCCTGGTTTACCTGTGACTGTCCTGGTTTTAATACTGGAAGCCCCACATTCGAGAAATCCCCTCAGTGCTGGACAACCTGAAATGGTTGATTACTTGAAGTCTTGCAGGAGAAATAGATAGATACTTTTTAATGTGGCATATAAGTGTTTTGATATAGGTAGTCAACACAGAGTTCCTTACTAATATTAATATCTGTCCTGAAAAGACATATTTCATGAAAAAAAATGCAATCTTAGAGTCTGTAACTTTCCCAAGATCACAAAGTTAGTAAGTAGTTGTATTAGTTTGTTCTCACACTGCTAGAAGGACATACCTGAGACTGAGGAATTTATAAAGGAAAGAGGTTTAATTGACTCACACTTCCACAGGGCTGGGGAAGCCTCAGGAAACTTACAATCATGGTGGAAGGGGAAGTGAACATGTCCTCCTTCACATGGTGGCAGCAAGGAGGAGTGTAGAGTGAAAATGAGGGGAAAGTCCCTTACAAAACCATGAGATCTCATGAGAACTCACTATCACATGAACAGCATAGAGGTAACTGCCCCCATGATTCAATTACCTCCCACTGGGTCCCTCTCATGACACATGGGGATTATGGGAACTACAGTTCAAGATGAGATTTGGGTAGGGATACAGCCAAACCATATCAGTAGTGGAATTCGAATTCAATCTCAGGCTACATTTTAGAGTTAAAACTTCTTTTCTTTTTTTTAGCATTTTAAAAAATTAATTTAATAGGTTTTGGGGAAACAGGTGGTGTCTGGTTACATGGACAAGTTCTTTAGCGGAGATTTCTGAGATTTTGGTGCACCCATCACCTGAGCAGTGTACACTGTACTCAATGTATATTGTTTTTATCACTCACCCCTTGACACCTTTCTCTCCAAGTCTCCAAAGTCCATTATATCATTTTTATTCCTTTGTATCCTTGTAGCTTAGCTCCCACTTATAAGTGAGAACATATGATGTCTGGTTTTCCATTCCCGAGTTGCTTCACTTAGAATAATGGTCTGCAACTCCATCCAGGTTGCTGTGAATGCCATTATTTCATTCCTTTTTATGGCTGAGTAGTATTCTGGTATATACATACCATGTTTTCTTTATCCACTTGTTGATTATGGGCATTTGGGCTGGTTCCATGCTTTTGCAATTGTGAATGGTGCTGCTACAAACGTGCATGTGCAGGCGTCTTTCTCATATAATGACTTCTTTTCCTCTGGTAGATCCAGTAGTGGGATTGCTGGATCAAATGGTAGATCTACCTTTAGTTTTTAAAGGAATCTTCATAGAGTTAAAACTTATTTTCTTAAACATTAAGCTGAACTTCCCTCCACCCCCTAAAACGACTCATTAAAGCAAAAATCAGGAATGGACTGGAGTTAATTAAGAGAAACCTGAACCAGATTAGGCCATTCAAGGAAGGCTTCCTAGAGAAAGTGACACATAAAATGAGTCTTGAGAGATAAGGAAGAGTTTTTCAGGAGATAAGTGAGGTGAGACACTCCAAGTATCTTCACTGAACAGCTTAGACAAAAGTGCAAGAACATTAAATAATGTGGGGATCTAAAGGCTGACCAGCAATGATGCATTATAGAATGTGAGCTGGGATTTGCTAGGAAATGAGGCTACAGGGACAGCTATAGGTTGGAGTTCTCCTAGTAGTTATAACCCACTAGAATCCAATGAGAGATAAGCTTCCTTCCATTTCAAAGCATTCACACGTAGGAAACAAATTAATCGTCTTTGTTGTAGAACATTTTTCATGTGACAAACTGAGCTGAGAACTAACACTACTGCACTTGCAAATCTGAAGCAAAAACATTTTGTTATCACATGCTCAGAACTGGAGGCTAACAAAAACAACAAGAACAACAACAATGAAAACTACCTTATAAAAAGTAGTTGGTAAATATGCTAAGTAGCTATTTTCCAATGCAAATAGCGAAAAGCATGAAAAAAAAAGCCACCATTTAGCCATTGCATAATGTTTTCTTAAAGACCAGGAATGTCAGCACTGTGTAGACCTTCCAGCACAAAGGCTAAATATGTTTGATTGACATAAATGGAAGACGTAAGCAAATTAAGGAGCCAAAGAAAATGTCTGATCTAATTTTTTTGCATATTGAGTGTATTTTTCTAACAAGTTTATTAAACACATTGAAAAAATAGTTATGTAGCCCCTAGTATATATGGTATTGTCCTTGGTGCTGAAAATACACTTAGGGACTATTTGAATCGTCTTTAAGAACATTAAAATTAGATAAAAAATTGATATGCAGACAATTAGAAAATGAAAAAAAATACGTAGTATAATGCAGGTGAATGTAAGGTGTGCTGAGAAAGTTTCCCTTATCTTTCCTAGGAGAAATTATCAAGTAAAAAGTCATTTGAAGCCTTTACTAACTCTTCTCCTAATGAGGAGAATTTTACAGTAAGATGTAGCAATAATAATAGTGCCACAATTTAATGAGCACTTGTTTGCCACTCAAAGAAATAAACCTTCTACATACATTTTCAAATTTAGTACTTACAACAACTCTTGAGGTTGATATTTTTACACGAATTTTTAAAATATAAATACCCTCAAGACGTCCGAGATTTAAGCAGCAGAACCAAGATTTGGATCTGCATCTGCTTGACTCCATAGCTGAAGTCTGTTACCTTATTTTACATGTTTTCCCACTAGGGAGAGGCATTCTAGGGGGAGGAACTGCACAAGGAAAGGCACAGAAGCTGGAATTGGTATAGCATGTTCATAAAACTGTCAGCAGATCTGCATGATAGGAGCACATGCTCTGAATGCAAATTGGAGGAAGGTGATCCTAAAGATCATGGAGCTCTCAGTATGTCATGAGAAACATTTTGGACTTTATTCTCCCCACCTACCCCCAACACACAAGTGAATTAAAGGAAAAAAATAATAGCAGAGCATTCTTCCTGATCAATGTCTTCTTTCTGAGCTGAGAAATGTCTACTGCAATTCATATCCAGACAATTCCTACTGCCAGGATGAAGATGAGCAACATCAGACCCCTCTGGTCTAAAAGGCTTTTATTTGAAAAGCTGTGTTATTATAGAGAATTCATGTATTCATTTATTCCATAATTGCTTTTTTTCCAGTTGCTGTTTAGCACCTATCATGTGCCAGTACTTGTATTGAGTACATGGAATTGTTGGTGAGCATAACTTACTTTCCTGTAAGAGAGCTCACATGAGGACAAGGTAGAAAATGACTCATGACCAAGTACTTAATGAGAAACTGAGATAAATTCTATGAGGGAAATGTGCTATGAGGGGCTAATAAGAAGGAATCTGGGGGCTTAGACACTTTCTCTGAGAACATGTTATTTGAGGAGAGTTATGAAAAATAAGTAGAAATTAACAAGGCAAAGTTGGGGGAAGAGAGCATTCTAGGTAACGAGAACCGATCTTGCAGTGGCCCTGAGGTAGTTTTCATGGCTTGATGGAGGAACATCTAGAAACCTGGAACAGAGAGATCAAGGTGAGGAGGACAGGAGATGAGCCAGAAAGGCAGGTGAAGAGTGTCATGAACCATGGTAAGAACATCGGTCAGCTGCCTAGATCCTTGTAAAAATGTCTTAAGAGCCATCTCTACATCAAGATTTATCTTGAAAAAGAAATATCTCCACTGTCTGACACAGTCATCTGTGTAACTCATAGAATCTCCCTTTGTTCTAGTTGCTTAAAAAATCACAGCTAAAATTATTTTAGGCATTCCATTCAAATCAGTATGGTGATATGTCAGTCTATTCAGTTCTTCCAGAAATTTTCTCTGAAGTGATATTGATTTTTCACATTTAGAAATTCATTCTAAGAAAATAACTTTTTCTGATGATCACACTGCACCTGCTCTTCACTTTGTGAGTTGTGCAATGATTTTTAGTCAAGGCATGATTAGTTGACAATTGCTAGCTGTAACTCACACACCTACTTATTGCAAGCAAACAAATGAAGGAGAAAGAGAAGGTTAATACAAAGAAGTGAGAAAAGACACAACTTTCAATTGCTACAATCATAATAAGATAATGTTTTCCATTGCCTATGGCTTGAAAAATACTCCAAGAAGAAAATATTCTCAAAGTGCTTTCTCCTGTATCTCTAATTCTGCCCTTAAAACAACTCATTATTTTCTCCTTTTTTGGATAAAAAACTGAGACAACGAGAGATGAAATCACTTTCCTGTGGTCTCATTGCTAGTGATAGTGGAAATGGGATTCATAGTCAGCTCTGATTCCAAAGTCAATGCTCTTTACTCTACACATCACTGCCTGCAACAGACACATAAGAAATCGTTTTCAGACGCTCTGTCCTTGGGGATGATCCACAAGGCCAATACAGGGAGTGCACAATCCTGGCATTTCACATTTCACAACCTTACAAAATAGCTGTGATCCCCTGCTCCCCAGATCCCACTCCAAACCCCTCCCTTCCTGCTGGGTTAAGCATCACCTCACTGTGTGGCTCAATAAAGGAAACCCTGGGAAATTAATGGTCTTGTTACCTCCATTGGTGTTTAATGACCCTGCAGTTTCCTGCAGAGTGTATTCTCCCTGGGCCAGTTGTTAATGAACCAGTTCCTCCTTCCATGGTTCAAGTGGAAGTCTCTTACAGCAGCAGAGAAGAACAGATTGAATGCCCACTAGGTGCGAAGTACTATACTATGTGCTTTATATGGATTGCCTTGTTTATTGCTCATTTAATCCAAAAATGATCCTGTGATGTAGGCATGATTATACCCATCTTACAGATGAGTAAAGCAAGTCATAGAAAAGTGAGGTAAAATGTCAAAGACCACACAGTTAGAGTCGAGTGAGGAATTAAATTCATAGAGGTAACCTGCAAGGTTCACATTCTTAATCACTACAGCATTCACATCCTCAGGTAATTCTGTCTGAGGCCTTGACATCCAGGCCATCTGGTTGGTTTACTTTAGGAAGATTGCACAAATCTTCCCACCATTATTCCTTCACCTCTTAGGCATATTCAGTGTTATGGAAATACCATCTCCCCCACTCTTGAAGCTCTTTGAAATTAAGATAAATGCAGCTGGTGGGGGAAACTTAAACTCATCTTATCTCATATTAACTTAATGGAGTATTCAGCACTTCAAGACTTTTTATTTTTCCCATCACCCCACCCCTAATTAGGAGAAAAACATCATGAAGACAGAAGGAGTGAACCAGGGTACATTTTATTGGAATGATTTCTAATTTCCTCTGATTCAAGTTCCATTTGGGAACACATCAGCTGGTTGTTAAAAACTTTTAGTTAAATAAGACAAACAGAGCTGGTGGAGGGGGTGGAGTTATCAGTGTTCCAGATCCAACAGAGTTAAGAAAACCTCAACCCTTACTTGGTATTTTGCTGCCTCAGAATGCTGGTTCTTAGAGCCCATTTAAAAAGCTAAAATAACTTCCAAAAAAGAAACAAACAAAATAGACGTAACACTGCAGCTGTGTTTTTCAGATCAGTATTTTAAGGTAAGGACTTGATGTTAGAAAGGAAGAATCTACAGTAATCCGAAAAGGTCAATGTGATCTGATTTGCAAAGGTCAAATTTGGTATAAGGAATGAAAGTGAAGAGTTATATGGCTTCAGGCAACTGATTCTTTTGTTGGCCTCAGTTTCCACATCTCTAAGAGGGGTTTTGAGAATCTTTGAGGTCTATTCCAATCCAGACATTTCATAAAGAGAGATTTTAAGTCTTAAGATTAAAGGCAGGGTCATTGTATTAGTCTGTTCTTATGCTGCTAATAAAGACATACCCGAGACAGGGTAATTTATAAAGGAAAGAGGTTGAACTGAGTCACAGTTCAGCATGGCTGAGGGGAGGGACCTCAGGAAACCTACAATCACAGTGGAAGGCAGGCACATCCTTCTTCATATGGTGGCATCAAGAAGTGCAGAGCGAAGGCCGGGAAGAGCCCCTTATAAAACCACCAGATCATGTGAGAACTCACTCACTACCATGAGAACAGCATGGTGGTAACCACCACCATGATTTAATTACCTCCCACTGGGTCCCTCCCACAACACCTGGGGATTATGGGAACTACAATTCAAGGTGAGATTTGGGTAGGGACATAGCCAAACCATATCACTTATATAAGTTTGGACAAAGCCAACTTCCTTTCTTGAATTACAGAAGTGTCTGGATCTGTAGTCTACCACTTTGTGCTTTCCTAAATTGGGACTTCAGTACCTGTACTCCTCATTCAACAATATTTATGTCTGATGACTTCACCTCCTACTTGTTTCCCATGCCTGCCCACTGGAATCCATCCACCCTTCTCTGTTTCTTTGCCATAACCTTAGGCCAAGCCATATCATCTCTTACGTGGATTACTCCAAAGGGCTTTTAATTGTAATCCTGCCTGAGTCTTGTGCCCACTTAACTCTATCTTTCACACTGCTTCTGAAATGCAAAACATGTCACCCTCCAGGTTAAAACATTTCAATATCTCAACATAGTTACACGGGAAAAAAGATCTTCATCCACCTGCTCCTGATTGCCTTTCCACCCTTATTTTCTGCAGCCTCCTGTCATAAACTTCTGGCTCTGTGACCTCAAAATCCTACATGCCATGCCCTGCCATTAAAGCCTCCAAGTCTTTATTTGGACTATTCTGTCTCCTCTTTCAGTTGGGTAACTTCTTCATGAAGCCTCTGAACTAGACGCCTCACTGAAGCCCCATTTGAACAAAGTTCCCCTGTTGTGTGCTCACATATTACCCTATTCAAACCTTTTGCTTATCACTGACTGACTTATGCTTAAACCTGAAGGAATATCAGTACTTACGGGCTGCACTTGGAGCTAAAAGCTGACAAAGGAGATTCAAAAAGATAAACCAGGGAGGCTGCACATACCAGGAGAGTGTGGCAGAGAAAAGCCAAAAGAAAGTAAGAAAGAGGGAGTGGTCCCCTATATAAAATTGTGCTTGGACATCTGGTGAAATGAGTTCTGAAAAGTGGCCACTGGATTGAGCAACATAGAAATCCTGGGTGACCTCAGTAACAGCTATTAGGGTTTGTTAAATAATGAATAAACACATGGATTAGTTTCTCTACTCCTCTCAATTCTTGTTTACAAGCTTGCTAGCTTTCAGAAGCAGTAGGCTTGTAGAAACAATATTTTTGCAACATTTCTTTTCAAATGAGATTATGTCTGATGTTGGATCAAGGCTAAGCTTTTGACTAAGATCACCATTTCCAGACAAGCAAATCTAAAGTAACTGCTCTTGGGGCAGGCCACTGTGGCCTCATGGTGCTCTTTGGCCTCTACCTAGAGTGAGTGAGCAATCCTGGAAAATCTAATCGCATGAGGTAAAAAGTCAGAGATGGGGTTTTCCTTCCAGCATAGGATTTTCAGCATGGGCAGGTTTCAGAGGGCCTCTATCAGAGAAGTCAATGAATCAAAGGGCATTTGCAGAGATGCTGTCTTCCCCTTGCCCATACATCTGCAGAAATAGGCCTTACTGAAACCATTAGCATAAAAACTGCATGTTTTGTAAGGTTGACTTCTTTGACCCCCTCTTCTATCATCTTCTTACTGGTTCTCTAGGCTATAATCATCCCAATCTTCTACGTGTCCCTTGCACACTTCAAATATTTTTGCAACTCTGGGCCTCTGTCTTTGCCATTCCATTTACCTAAAATTCTTCCCCAAGATCCTTGCAAGGCTAGCTCCTTCTTGTCATTCAGGTCTCAAGTCAAATGACCTCCCTCCCTCAGAGATGCCTGAGGGTATGGCTATGGAAAAGGCAGCCCTCAATCCTGGGCAATCTCTGGTCCACTCCATGATAGTGTTTTTTTTTTTTTTTTTACCGTATTAATATTTCCAAAAGATATATGTAATATATGTATTAGATGTTCACTGTCTGTCTCTCCTCATTAGATTGTTAGCCTCCTAAAGGCAGGAATCCTAACAGCCCTTGTACTGATATATTTTCAGCAACGAAAGAGTTCTTGGTGCAGATTTTGCACTCTATTAAGTGAGTGCATGAATAAAGGTTTTCAAGTGATTCACTTATAAGCCAAGTTCTGCCATCTCTATCTGGCCTTTCAGTTACTCCTTGAGGGGAGCCTCAAGTTCAAGTTCTTTGGAAGGATATTGAAAATGCTCCATGATATAGTGAGTGATTTTCAAACTTAAGCTGCATAAGAGCCACTGAGATACTGGTTAAAGATGTGAGTTTCAGACACACAGATTCTTTTTCAGTACACTGGAGTGGGGCTCTGAACTGTGCTAGAGATCCTAGTGCAACCAGCAGACTTCTCTTGAGAATGCAGTTTTAGAATTTAACCACAGCACCCATCACACCTTACAGACCTTACTGCAGCAACTCTAACCTGCTTCTGTTCCTCTGAATTGAATGAATGCATGGATGGATGGATGGATGGATGGGTCAACAGATGGATGGATTGCAACTCTTTTTATTATTATTTTTATTATACTTTAAGTTCTGGGATACATATGCAGAACTTGCAGGTTTGTTACATAGGTATACACGTGCCATGGTGGTTTGCTGCACCCATCAACCCATCATCTACATTAGGTATTTCTCCCAATGCTATCCCTCCCTTAGCCCCCACCCCCCAACAGGCCTTGGTGTGTGATGTTCCCCCGACTGTGTTCACGTGTTCTCACTGTTCAACTCCCACTTATGAGTGAGAACACGTGGTGTTTGGTTTTCTGTTCCTGAGTTAGTTTGCTGAGAATGATGGTTTCTAGCTTCATCCATGTCCTTGCAAAGGACTTGAACTCATCCTTTTTTATGGCTGCATAGTATTCCATGGTGAATATGTGCCACATTTTCCTTATCTAGTCTATCATTGATGGGCATTTGGGTTGGTTCCTAGTCTTTGTTATTGTGAATAGCACTGCAATAAACATATGTGTGCATGTGTCTTTATAGTAGAATGATTTACAACCCTTTGGGTATATATCCAGTATTGGGATTGTTGGGTCAAATGGTATTTTTGGTTCTAGATCCTTGAGGAATCGCCACACCGTCTTCCACAACGGTTGAACTAACTTACACTCCCACCAACAGTGTAAAAGCATTCCTATTTCTCCACATCCTCTCCAGCATCTGTTGTTTCCTGACTTTTTAATGATCGCCATTCTAACTGGCATGAGATGGTATCTCATTGTGGTTTTGATTTGCATTTCTCTAATGCAAGGATTGTAACTCTTACAGAACAATCAACCCAAAAAGAAAGCAATAGATCATTATGCTCTTTCAAGGCAGAAACTGCAGGAGAAACTGACACTGAAAAGATATTTTGAATGTCTGATTCAGGGAAAAATCAGAAGGCTTGATGGCTTATAAAACAGTATACATGTTTTTGCTTTTCTTCCTACACAACACAAAGCGGGCTGAATTCATATGGATGCTTTCAGGGCTCCCAAAATTGGGATTCAATTCTGGATGACTAGAATTGAAGTGTGATCTAAACAGTTATATTTTGGCAAATGTCTTTCAGCAAGCACATAATAATTAGTATAAGCATCTTGTATGTTTTAGATACTTTCTATACATTAATTCCCCAAATAGCCCCAGGTGTTTCTGCCTGCATTTTATGAGCAAAAAAGAAAATGGAAGTTGGGAAAGGATAAGAAACTTGTCCAAGTCTACTTGGCTCCAAAGCTTGTGCTCCTTGGACTCTGTCTCTTCTCAGACTACAGGTGAGTACGCAAGGGCCCAAGCAGGACCTGGAGCCTGGAGGCAGACCAGAACCCCGAAAGTAGAGAAGGATGAAGTCTGGTGTCTGCAGAGTAGAGTGACAGGAGTCCCCAGGGGTAGCCCAGAAGACAAGGTCAGCAGGCCCAGCATTGGCTGGAAAGATACGCAAGTAGGGAGGAGGACATCATTCATTCCTTTACCCACTTATTCATTTTCCTACACTCAACCATTCATTCAGTTATTTACACACAGTTATTTGCTTCCTCGCCTTGTCAAGTAATTCTGGAGGTCCCAGTGTTTGCCAACAGCCATGATAGGAACTTTACTGACTTATCTGATTTAATCTTTATAACCGCACTGGGATATTAGGAGTATTATTCTCCCATTTTAGAGATAAAGAAACTAAGATACAGGCCACACACCTAACTTGTAAGCATCATGACTCATTCCATCTACTTTATTTTTTAACAAGCATTTATAATATGCTTATTATGTAGCATGCACTTTTTAAGCACTTCATGCACATTCCCCATAGTACCTAACACAGAGCCCGGCACTTGGTATATGCTTCATAAATATCTGTTAATATTTGAATGAATGAATCAATCAATCATCAATCAGTAGAGGTACTATATCAGCTTTACAGAAAATGAGTGCTAATATAATTCTGAGGTAGTATGAGTTGTTTCTTCAGCCATTCAACATGCATTTATTATATATTTTAAAATATATATTTATTATACATATAATTATGTATGTATGTATTGTATATAACCACCTACACTGTGCAGAGTACTGGTGAGATGGTACAGGGATAAAATACTCTATCCTTGCCTTCTGGGTGAGCTGGTCTCCAGTCCAGTAGGGGGACAGAGAGAAAGGCTGACGTAAGAAAGAAACAGAGATTTGGGCAGCCTATGAAGAGGATATTCATGCACTCAAGAGAACAAAACCATGACCAAGTGACACCACCTGTTTAGGAGTCCAACTCCTGGAACTGGGATGAGGGTCAGAGCAGGAGCCAGAGCCGCCTGGAGTAGGACACCTTGTGCTCTAAAGTGGGCATTCTAGAACCCCTAGGGTCAGGGTTGAGCCAAGCCAGGGCTGAGGGTGAGGTTAAGAATTTCCAGCTTTGGGGAGCAGAAAGTTTCTGGGACATTACATCAGGCCAGGTGAGGCATGTTTTGCTTCCTGAAGGTAAAAGTTGTGGGTGTTTGGTGTCTGCATGTGTATGTGCAGGAGAGTGAGGAGGCCAGTGGATACTTGTACATGAGAATGTTTGTGTTTTAGACCATGTCTCTGTGGGTACCTGCATCTGCTGGTCTCTCTGTCCTTGAATCTGAGATTGAAACCTGGGCTGGTACCAGTGTATTGTCTGGTTAGGGGAGAAGGTGCTGAGAAATGAGGAAGAAGAGAGAAAAAGCTAACAGAGTCAAATATTTAAATTAAATGCTCAATGACCACAACCTCTGCATGTTTTCCAGAGGGAGGCTTCTGTGCATGGCATTTTACTCACAGAGAGAAAAGTCCATTTCCCCAACTTCCTGAGACACACATCCACACTTCCCAAAAGCAGATTCTATCAACACGCAGTGCATCAGAGACTCCTTTTAGATTGTGGGTGGTTTTTAAAAAGGTATTTAAGACAGGGTTATACACACTCTCCATGTGGTTTTCTAAGGAGTAATCCCCCATAATTCTGGCCATTCTCTCTCTCTCTCTCTCTCTCTCTCTCTCTCTCTCTGTGTGTGTGTGTGTGTGTTTCAATTTAAAATACAGATACATTTTTTCTTAAAAGCATAAGAACATAGTGATATGAGCGCTAGAAGAAAGAGAAAAGGGCTCTGCACCCACAGCCCAGCTTCCCAAGGCTCCTCCTCTGTCTACGGGTTTCCATCTATGTTCCTCCTCTCCTCCCCTCCTCACACAGAACTCTCCCACTGGAAGCTGTTGATGCATTCTCTCTGGTTTTGGTGTGCCCTTCAGAGCATATTTTTAAAGGAAAGAAGGAAGGAAATGCTTCTTATATAGAAAAGCAGGCAGCTACGGGGTAAGGGAAGAAGACTCATCCACATCTCCAAGCTGAGCTTCATCCTTGACAAGCACACATCTGGACATGCAACACCTCTGGTTAGCATCCTGCAAAGGCTTCTCTGGTCTGAATCACCAGGACCAGACTGGGCCTACCCAATCTCCACTCCCACCAACCTCTGGGCCCCTTCTCCCAGGGTTGGCAACTTGCTGGCCACTTTCCAGTTCCTCTAAAGCATTGGGCACTTTCCAGCCTCAGGATCTCCTGCACACAGCTGACTCCTTCCACGCTCCTCACCACCCCTTCCTTAGTCAATTTCTACTTCTCTTCCGCAGCTCACTAAGATGGGTGCTCCACTGAGGAAATCTTCCCTGGCCTCCCTGTACATGCACCTGCACACACACACCTGCACCACACACCCTTGGCCAGATCCACCTGTTACAAATGATCACTGCATTCTGCACTTCACCTCCATTGCACACATCACAATTGTAATTGATTAGCTGTGCAATCAGGTTTTTAATAACTGTCTTTCCCCACTGATGAAAGCTCCCTGAGGGCCAGGGCCATGCCAGTGTCTATCTGTGCTTACAATAGGCTTTTTATTTAGCAGGCGTACAGCCAATACATTTTTGTTGAATGAAGGCATAAATGATCCTCAGTTTCCTCATCTCTAAAGTTGAGACAATAATAAAAAGCCTGTGCGTATTAAATGAGATAACAGAAGTGACACTGCCTGACCAGTAAAAAGGTTTTGTTTTTGTTTATTTGAGTTATTTGTTCCCTGAAAAAAGAAGCTCAAAAATAAAATTAGCTGTCTCCTGGAATGGTAAACTTTTTGTCATTGGGGGCCTTCTAGCAAAAGATGGTTGAAAATTTTGCAGGGATATTGTAGAAAGAGTGATCAGTGAATCACAGTGGGTAATTCTCTATTTTGGCTTCATATTAGAATCAACTGAAGATTTAAAAAAATAACTAACTGATGGCCCAAGAGATTCTGATTTAATTTGTGGGATCCAAGCACCCCAGGTGTGAAGAAAGCGCCCCAGGTGTTTCTAACATGACCATGGCCATGAAACACTGGTTTAAAATAGATAATCTTTACATTTTCTTCTAGCCACGAGATGTCACTCCAGGAAACCAAAGACTATTTGTTTCTTCTGTGAGCAAGGGGCTGGGGGGAAGGTGGAAGGTAGAAGAGAGCCCTTTAACATAGTCATTTTTTAAATTTTAAATAAAAATTTACAGATGTGTAAGTATAGAGCCCGCCACATAACAAGTTAAAGAGCAGTGGCTGTGGAGTCTCTGATCCTCTCTACTGAAGAACTTAGGGCCTTTCCAGCTATGCAATTTGGGGTAAATCACTTTGTCCCACTAAACCCATTTCCCCAATTTAAAATGGAGATAATGTTACCCTTATTATAGAGTTTCTGGGATAATTCAATAAAATAAGACATAAGAAGCAGTGCAGCAAGTGCTCGCAGAAGGTAAGTCCTCTTTGGTAAGAATTTGCTATATATATACACGTATACACATTTATACACATATATACATATATACACACACACACACACACATATATATATTATCAATGTGAATACATTTTGCAAACAGTGCAGTTATAAGGCATTATCATTGTGATCATTGGCCAGCCCAGGTGGAAAGCTATGAGATTGATTTTTTTTTTTTTTTTTTTTTTTACCCCAGGGACATTCTTAGAGAGCTGTGGTTTTCCCTAGTGTACTGTTGTTGATGGGTCTTTTAGAAATACAAATACACACTCACACATACAAATGTGTACACACACACATACACACATGCACATCCATATACACATATTTCTTTTCTTTTTTCTCCAAGTCCCCACTGAAATACAGCTTGCCTGAGAAAATATGAATCAGAATTTATTGTGTTGTGCTGCTTTCCCACTGGAGTAGCAGGGTCAAATATAGATTGCTAGAACTGATCTGCCCACTCGTTGCTCACAAGGTCCTTACAGAACTGAACACCTGACCCTAAACAATGGGGAAAAGATTCAAAGAGCTGTATTGAAAGAAATCGAATTTTAAACAGATTCTTGGTATCAGCTTGTAAAATGATAACAGCTCCTGAGCATGCCCGTCTGAAAGAACAGTCACTGGCACATGCTTGCAAGCAAACCATGTCAGATTTCATCACACTGCCATAGCCTCCGGGGCAGAAAACATCCCCAGCACATGGTGGCCTGGAAGCCTGCACACCAGGTGAGTGCTAGCTGTGCCCCTCACTGACTCTGTGACCACCAGGAAGTCCCTTAACTTCTCTGAACCTCTCACTTTATCTGTGAAATGGGGGCAATGCTACTTGCTCTGGTGACTTCACAGAGTTCCCCGAAGGTCACTGGCATAGTGTGCAGGCAGGTGCCTTGTGCCCCTGGGGAGCTATGCAAATGCAACATGGCATCACCAGCTCTGTGCCAATGATGGCCAGGACCACCAGTGGAGACTGCACCTCTCTGGGTCTTATAGCATCTTCAGCTCTAATGGGACTCTCAAAATTCTTTTTTGGTCATGAAAATGTTCCTGTTCTGTAGGTCTGGCAGGTTCCATAGTCCTATAATTCAGATATCTAAATGTTCTTAAATTTTAAAATTGCCCAACTGGCAGAATGCTGGCTGAATACACAGACAGAATGATAGAAATGAAGAAGCCATATCTGGAAACCAAGTATTTAATCCATTAGAATATGCTTTAGGCAGAGGGCCAGGCAAATAGGCTAAAATGGTGATGACAAGAGTTAGAGAGATGGGAATTTATCATCCAGTGGTTTTTGAATGCTTTCTAAAACTGTGGAACTTAACTTTAGGGAAGAGTGATGGGTAATCACCTTTCTATAAATATACACCACCAATGCCCACTGCAGATTCTGACATACCTTGGGCAAGAGTGTATGTGGTGTGGGCTGTGTATATGTATATATACATTTTGAAAAAAAAAATCCCTGGGTAATTTTTACATGACTCTCTCCTCCCATCCTCTCATGGTTAAGAACTTGTGCTTAAAATCATGCCCTACAGATGGATGTTCATTGCACCAAGCCTGGGGCTTGTTTAACCTCCAATTCACTTCCTGGGCACTAACAATCCATCCCTTTCTATAGAACTGACTTTCTACATTATTTAGACCTGTAAGTTATGATGATAATAGTTATGAGACAAATTCCTTTGAGAAGCACAATACCTTACAATTTGTGAAGTTCCTTGCCATTTAACTATCTTCTTTGATCCTCCTAACCTTTTCCCCATCTGATGGAGAAGAAGCTCAATGTTCAGAGAAGTGACGTGACTTGCCTAAGGTCACACAGCTAATAAGAGGCAGAGCCTAATGCAGAGTCTAATGCATGCCACCCAGATCTTTATCCAGACTGCTTTCCAGTTCTTTCATACAAGTAAAAATGACTATTCATGTTATTGTCCAGCTCCTTGTGTCCTTTAAATAACACTAGTTATTATGTGGTAGACTTCAGGCTAAGCATATTGTACATAGTACAGTGTATTTCCCAAACAGCCCTTCAGGGTGGGTATTATCCCATTTTACAGCTGAGGACACTGAGGCTCAGAGGTGAAGGGACCAACTTAAGGATGCATTCAGCTCAGGCATCTGTTCCTTGCAGATTCCTGATCTGAGTCCCATGACTGGGTCAGGGGCCTCTTTGAGACTCCCCATAGCACTTACCCCATTTGTTGATAGCATGCATTCATACATGTCTTCTATCCATGAGATTGTGATCTCTCCAAAGGTAGGCCATGTCTTAATCCCAAGACCCACCAGCACCAATCTCAGGGCTGGCACACTCTCCATGTATGAACAAATATCACAGAGCACAGAGAATAAGTATAGAACTCAGATTTTGAACACAAATCTCTTTGAACCCCGAATATCTTATCTGGTTCCATCAAAAGTGGCCCACAAACAGGCCAGGCACGTACTCAGTTTCTGTCCAGAGAAAATTCTCCTGTCTCTCAAGTGGCTCTAGCCATTTCTCTCAGCCAGGACCAAAGGTATAATTGAGTTTCTGATGAAAGAACGCCAGCCTTGTCCCCAAAGATCACAGTGCCTAGGTGAGACAAGAGCTAGCTAGGCTAAGCAACAAATTCTTCCTCCAGTCTCTGCTTAAAGAAGGTGACGTTCCAATTACAAATTTCCTGAGAAAACTGCTATTCAATTGCACAAGGCTGATTTTCAAGGCATTGACACCTTCTTGGCTTGCTTGCTTATTAGACACAGGAGTTGGGGAGGATGGAGGAGTATTTAAAAGCTGGTTTTCAGCCCAACGAATCTGAAGAAATTTTCTTTATTGCTCTGCAAGAGGAGGTGGGGATCGGGGAGGCAGAACTAGATCTGATAAAGGAGATTAAATGGCCTTACACATCTGACAGCAAAGAACAGACCCCATGGGAATCCCCAGTCCTGCTGGTGCTAATAAAGTGCACGATATTACTCTGGTAATATAGTGTACAATATAAGGCATCCAGATGCTGGGGCCAGAGCCACGACCTACATCTTCCACAAACCAATTTTCTGCTGGGTTGGATGTGTGAAAAAGAAGCCAAATACATATATTTTTTCCCCTTGAAAGAAGAATTGCTTCCCTAGCTTTTTACCTTGGCCTATCTGCTCCTCCTGTCTCCTGCGTTCTCAAAGTGGGAATTACTTCTAATCCACTCAGAGGAGAAGCCACTACCTGCCTCAACTGTGGGCTATTAAAGGACAATTGGGCTCCTTGCTGGATTTCTAGTGGCAGTGGGGTATGAGGCAACAAGCCTAGAATTTGCAGTCAGACAAACCAGGTTCAAATCCTTGCTCTTCCAATTATAGGATGTTTGTCCTTGAGCAAGTTTCCCCTAGGTTGTCTGAGCCTAGGTTCCACATCCACCACACAGAAGTGCTAGGAGTGCTAAAGACAATTCATATTAAGTGTCTAGCACAAGAGCTTAAATGTAGCAGGTATTTAATAAGCAGTAACAAGTAGTAGCAGTAGCAGTAGCCTCAATGAGTAAAGCTTAAAGGCAACCTCACTAAAGGAACAGCACTTTTTTGGCAGGGAATTTAGGGGGTGAAAACAATGATGCTTATTGATAAGATGAACAGCAACAATGCTTTATTTCTCCATTTCCAGTTATTGAGCATCTTCTGAGTAGATAGTAATATTGTAAGCATTGAGAAAATATAGGCAACTATCAATCTCTTCCAAGATCTTGTAGACTAGTGGGGACACCAAGAAATGCCACGGGACATGTTCTGAGCCACAGTGTTCCCAAAAATTTAACATTATCATCTCATTTGACCCTCACAGGAACCTCAAAAAGGGGGCAAGACATGATTTGTTAATCCCCATTTAGTAGATTTTTTAAAACCTGAGGCTCCCTATTTAATAAATGGTGCTGGGAAAACTGGCTAGCCATATGTAGAAAGCTGAAACTGGATCCCTTCCTTACACCTTACACAAAAATTAATTCAAGATGGATTAAAGACTTAAATGTTAGACCTAAAACCATAAAAACCCTAGAAGAAAACCTAGGCAATACCATTCAGGACATAGGCATGGGCAAGGACTTCATGTCTAAAACACCAAAAGCAATGGCAACAAAAGCCAAAATTGACAAATCGGATCTAATTAAACTAAAGAGCTTCTGCACAGCAAAAGAAACTACCATCAGAGTGAACAGACAACCTACAGAATGGGAGAAAATTTTTGCAATCTACTCATCTGACAAAGGGCTAATATCCAGAATCTACAATGAACTCAAACAAATTTACAAGAAAAAAACAAACAACCCCATCAAAAAGTGGGCGAAGGATATGAACAGACACTTCGCAAAAGAAGACATTTATGCAGCCAAAAGACACATGAAAAAATGCTCATCATCACTGGCCATCAGAGAAATGCAAATCAAAACCACAATGAGATACCATCTCACACCAGTTAGAATGGCAATCATTAAAAAGTCAGGAAACTACAGGTGCTGAAGAGGATGTGGAGAAATAGGAACACTTTTACACTGTTGGTGGGACTGTAAACTAGTTCAACCATTGTGGAAGTCAGTGTGGCGATTCCTCAGGGATCTAGAACTAGAAATACCATTTGACCCAGCCATCCCATTACTGGGTATATACCCAAAGGATTATAAATCATGCTGCTATAAAGACACATGCACACGTATGTTTATTGCGGCACTATTCACAATAGCAAAGACTTGGAACCAACCCAAATGTCCAACAATGATAGACTGGATAAAGAAAATGTGGCATGTATACATCAGGGAATACTATGCAGCCATAAAAAAGGATGAGTTCATATCCTTTGTAGGGACATGGATGAAGCTGGAAACCATCATTCTCAGCAAACTATCGCAAGGACAAAAAACCAAACACCCATGTTCTCACTCATAGGTGGGAATTGAACAATGAGAACACATGGACACAGGAAGGGGAACATCACACACCGGGCCTGTTGTGGGGTGGGGGGAGGGGGGAGGGATAGCATTAGGAGATAGACCTAATGTTACATGACAAGTTAATGGGTGCAGCACACCAACATGGCACATGTATACATATGTAACTAACCTGCACGTTGTGCACATGTACCCTAAAACTTAGTATTAAAAAAAAAAAAAAAAAAAAACCTGAGGCTCAGACAGATGATGTTGCTTGGCTAAATTCACAAGGGAGCTTGAGCCAGGATTTGGCCTAACTGCTCATCTCCAGCTCTTAATTGTGTTGAGCCTGAACCACTCTGGGATACCTCTGGCTCTGCCAGCAACTGGAATTCTAGCTCTGGCCATCTCCAAGTCATGGTATCTCCATCAGCCACAGCTATTTTGTTTCATAATATGTTGGGGCTTTCCTCAGACCCAGCTCAGTGTGGCATGGAAGAGATGCTATACAAATATTGGTTGGCTGATTATATACGAATAATAACAACAGATATGTAATATCCTTTGTAGCACACTTTTTAGTTTAAAAAGTGCTTTCGCATGTTATGGCACTAGTTTTTTTTCAGCCCTTAAAGGTAGACATTACTATCCCATCTCCCAGATGATTAAAAAAAAAAAAACTCAGAGAGGTTCACTTTATCAAAGCCACAAAGTTAGGAAGGCACAGAAGCAGGGCTCGAGGTGGGTGTGTAGGAAGCCAAGTCTTGGGTTCTTCTTGCATTCATTTGACCCATCAAAGGTGTGACATGAATCTACAGAGTAGCTACAGATCTCTCATCAGAGCAGCTGGAATGAAATGGTACTGTTAAGAATACAGAGAAAAATATCATCCACCTCCTCAAAAGTAGCTGACATTTATTGAATGTTTGATTTCTCAGTACAAGACACTTTGCCAAATGCTTTCCATGTAGTCTTTTGTATAATCCTTAGGAGGTAGGTTCTATAATAATTCTTATTTTACAGATGAGGAAATTAATGTTCAGGGAGGTGAAATAGCTTACTCTAAGCACAGAGCGATAGGTTTTGGATTTGAACCCAGGCAATCTGACCCCACAGAACTTAACAGTGTCATCCTTTGTTGAATCTCTGGCACAGTGTCCACCAATGTCTTCCGGAGGAACCCAGTGTTTATTGAGAATATTTATTGATTGCCATTAAGTACCAGGCATTACCCTCAATGCTAGTTATATTAACTCATTTAACTCTCGAAAGCACTCTGTAAGGCAGATATTATTATCCCACTTTATAGAGGAGGAAACTGTGGCTCAGAGTTTCTGAACTGACTGCCCAAGACAGTAGAGCTGGCTAAATGTAGAATTATTTTCAAACGCAGAAATATCTGGGAAAGGTTTGTTCTTCCTTCAACAACTTTGGAATCTCCTGGAAGAGATCTGAAATACACACAGAAGAAAGGTTCAAAGAAGGAAATGGGAGGCAACAGAGCCAAATAACCAACTCTAGGATTCCAATCACAAAGGTTGCCCAAGATCAGGGAGTGGAGAGGTTGCAAAATGCTGGATTTGTCTGGAGAGGCTGAATGGAGGAAGCAAAACTCCAGTGGGCATTGAAGACTGGAGGAAATTTGGTTGAGCGAGGCATTCCAGGCAGAGGAATAGCATATTTAAAATTTAAGCAGAGTCTAGAAACAGATTCAAGTAGCAAAGGGGAGCCTTAATAAAATGATGTGAAGTTGAGATAGACCTACTTACTAGGATTCAGGCTGTGTGTCCAGCACTCTCCTCCAGCCCCACACCCACAGCACTCTGAGGTTTCTTTGTTCTCCTCTAGCATGTAGCTCATCAGGTGCCAAAGCTACAATAAGAAAGTCACGAAAGTTAGGGGAGAGACAATAGACCAAGAAGGAAAAGACACCATACATACCTCACATAAGGCCTCCAGGAAGGCAGGGAGAAGTAGGTCATGGAGGGAGAAGAGAGCTTTGATTTGCCCACAGTGTAAGCCGGTCTCAGCTCTTCCACTCACTGTTTCTCCCCCTTCTCTTCCCTCCTCTCCTGTGTATTCTGCATGCAGCAGCAAATGTATAATGCTTGGATGGCCTGACAAAACAGTTTCTGAGATTTATTTCTGTTGGACAATTTTGCATTTCCCCCCTCTGCTGACAACTCTGTTAACAGCAAGCTCTCTATGAGGCTGTAAATTTGGAGATCACATACCTGATGTAGACATCGTTGCTTTAAAAACAGACCAAGAAAGTGGACTCCCTGAGGCGAGGGTAAGCCCATAGCCTAACTGGTTTCAGAAGACTTGGTCCATTATCTGGGAGTCAGTGATAGCTCAGAGCTTGGTATCCGAGATGAAAAAGACCACATGGAGTAAGAGATGGAGCAGTAGCCCTGTGCAGTATAGTCGGTTCAAGGCAAGAGTGCACAACCTGGAGATAGTTCCAAGTAAGTCAAACACGAAATCTAGTTGGATGAGATCCAACAGTGGCCTTAGATTATTTTTAAAACCGAATGCTGATAAGCCATTAGGCAGTAGATGTTAGGTAATAAATGTGGAAAATATTTTATCAAGCATGAATTTCTATATTCACATAAAGAATTGTAATTGCTTTTTGGGGGGGTAAGGGGAAAGGGTAATCTTGCTTTTCTATTATTATTTAAGAAATTTTATTGCTCAGAACCTTCCCTCCCTGGGCAATGGCAAGAACTTTGGAGACCAGCCTTTGGGGACAGAGTCAGAGGCACTGGGTGGAAAAAAGAGCAAGTGTATGGTACACTTGGTCCATTATCGTGTGTGGATATGGCAGGGGGAGGGGGGACTCTAGGAAGCCCTGCATCTAGGGCTTTCTTGGGACCCAGATATGCCCCCTTGTGCGAGGTTCACATGCCAAAGCAAAGCAAATGAGGCCAGCCTGGCTTGGGGTGAGGGCTCAGTACCTCTTAGCCTTGCCCTGGGGTTCTTGGACCTTCTGGAAACTGAGCCACATCAGGCCCACGTTGATGGCATAGGTGGTTATGCAAACAAGACAGAAATCATAGAGCACAAAGAACAGGATCCAGTCCAGGTAGACATAACCAGCAAGAGACACCAGGGAGCTCAGCACCAGCAGGACAGAGGCCCAGAGCATCCGCAGGCAACCTAACAACAGCTGTAGTGTGTAGAAAATGCAATCAAATATGCTGCTAGATTGACTGAGGATGCTGTCCTGTCACAGCACATGCTCCACCAGCCCGAAGCCCCTGTCCCACCTGGGGCAGATCACCCATGCAGTGGTGTGATCATAACTCACTGCAACCTTGAACTCCCAGGCTCAATTGATCCTCCTGCCTCAGCCTCCTCGGTACCTGGTACTACAAGTGCATACCACCATACCTGATTATTACTCTTTTTTTTCTTTTAGAGACAGGGTCTCACTATGTATCCCAGGTTGGTCTCAAACTTCTGGTCTCAAGGCATTCTCCAGCCTTGGACTCCCAAAATGCTGAGATTATAAGCCTGAGCCACCATGCTTGGCCTAAAAGTTAAAATTGTTACCATTTTGTGAAAGAAGAAAACAGTATCTCTTACGTGCATTTTGAAAAATAGGTACGAGTAAAGGCAAATACACTTAGAAGCACAGAATTTTAGACCTGGGAAGAGATGCATTCACTCCATTAGCAAGCATTTGGAGACTGCATCTTGGAACCAGGTCCTGTGTAGGACTCTGAGGCACTGGAGAGGAACCATACCTAGGCCCTCAAGGACCTCACAGAGTGATAAGTGTAATGACAAGTGAAGTCACTGGGGGTGATGGGAATACAGGGCATCTCAATCAATGGGGGGCATCGGGAAGGTTTCCCACCCAAAGGGAAGTTAGTACTAAATTCTAAAGGAGGAATAAGAGAGTACCAAGGCAAAGAAGGAGAGAACGTACTTGCAGAGGGGTCATGGGGGGCATTTGAAGCACTGGCAAAGCACTGGCTAAGCACAGGCCTGGCCTCCAAGCTTTTAATTTTACAGATGTGAAAGCTGAGCCTCCTGGAGAAGAGTAACTAAGTTACCCAAGGGGGAAGCAGTACGACTAAAAATTCACAACAAAGCTTGCTCTTAACCACTCCACTATATTGCCTGAATACTAAACATGGAATGTAACATCTTCACAAGGGTCAGTAACTGACTCAGGACCACACAGACAGATAGTGGCAGATCTGAGATGAGAACTCAGGTCTCTTTGCTCCCAGTCCAGTGCTCATTCCAGTATGCCATGCAGACTGTGCAACCTCCCAGTCTCACTGAGTCTTAACCCCTACATCACGCCATTGCTCCTACGTCCTTTCCATGGCTCCCTTACTATGGAACTCAGTCATCAAGACTGATGTTTCATTCCTTTTTCATTAAGTTGAAAAAAAGAACAAGGTGACCTTCCTTCCCTGTGGCCTTTCCCATCCTTGAAAACCACTGAGGTTAGGAAGGAAGTCATCAGATATTCTCACTTCCAATCCATCCTCCTAAAGGCCAGCTGGTCTGGGAATAAAACACCTTGGTGTCGGGCCTTTAATTTTTAAAGAGAGAGCAAAATGGTGAGAAGACTTTAAAAACTGCTCTCAGCTTTGTGTGTAATAGCCACCCAGGCAGGAGGTCATCACCAATCTCCACATCTCTCGAGACTCCCAGGCTTAGAGGAGCAGGAGGAGTATTTGTTCCTGGAGCCACAGAAAATTGCAGACCTGACCCTGCCTTCCTTGTGCTTAGAAAAAACCCACCTCTACAACAAAGCCCAAGTCCTTATTGAACGACAGTCAGCTGGCTTGACCACTAACAAAGAACTGATACAAAGGACAAAGGGGCACCCTCTTACAAGGATTCCTTAGAAGTAGAAGCCCCTGGTATATTACTCATGACATCTCAGGTTTGTAGAAAAACAACAGCTCCAGAAAAATATCTGGTCCTGAAAAATCACTGCTTCGTCAGAAGCAGACATATGACCAAATGCAGCAACAAAGTAAAAGCATTTATTAATCCTAGGTTGTGCTAAGCTTAATAAAGGTGTAACACAGGTTGAACATCCACAATTGACAGACACTGTCTACTTAGTCTCTCTAAGCCTCCCAACAGCTCTGCAAGGTAGGAATTACAGCACCATGGTTGGCAGTATGGCATGATGGTTAAGGCCGTGAGTTCTGGAGCCAGACAGACGGATTCTGAATTGCACCTCTGCCTCTTATTAAATGTGACACTTATTAATGAAGCAAGTTGCTTAACCACACTGTGGCTATGCATCTTCACTTTGCAATGGGGACGATTATAGTGCCAACTTCATAAGATTATTGTGAGGACTAAATTAGTTAACAAATGTAAAGTACTTAAAAGAATGCCTGGCACATAGTAAAATTCAAGAAGCATTAGTTGTCATTATTGTTATCTTTATTGTATATATGAGGAAACTGAGTCGAGAGAGTGTGAGTGAGTGAATTAGCCAGGATCACCACTGATAAGTGGTAGAGCTAGAAATGAAACTTAGAGCTCTTTCAGCTATACCCCAACTCAGATATAGCCCTAAAATATTCTAATTTTAAGCTTATTACCCAAACATTCTATCATAGGCAGAGCAGAGCAGGACTGTTTCAAAGACAATGAACTTGAGACTCAGCAAAGGGAAATGACTTGGACTCAGACCACAAACATGCAAATGGGCGAACCAGATGTTGAACTCAAGTCTCAGGACAGCTGGTTCCACTCTGCCACATAAGGGAGAGGGCAAGGGAGGACCACAGTGGACTGGACAAGCAAAGTAGATGAGAAACATGCTGATGGACAGGCCACTAAGGTATGAGGACAGGAGTGCTAGACAAAGGTACAGAGCTGTGGGCTAGAGACCCCACATCTATGCTACATAATAACATTCTACACTGTATAGTAATGATTATGACACTGAGTGAGAGCAAACTACAAGTATAGAAACAGGATTTGCTTTGTGCTACATGATGACTATCCTGTCTGAGTAACAGTACACTGACAATAAACTCAGGGTTCTTGATTGGAACATAACCAAGTGGGGACAGTTGGAGTATAGTCTCCAAAGTTCAAATTTAATTATGTACTAGCTGCACATTTTCTCACTTGGTCTTCATAACAGCCAGTGATACTGGTACCCATTATTCCAATTTACATATGGGAAAATTCAGATTCACAGAGATTAAGTAACTTGCTACAGGTAAAAATAATAGCAAGAGGCAGAGTTTAGATTCAAATCCATGTTTGTCTAACTCTAAACCCATGCTCTTTCCCATAAACTATTTTGTGCTATTTTGTTTTTCTGTTTTTTAACTAATCAACACCAATATCAGTCACTCACGGCTTCTGACCAGTAGGAGGTTCAGGAAACAGCATGTTCAGTTGTCGCAATTCCAACCAAAAGCCAAAATACCTGACAGGTCTACAAAGATTAAATAATCTTCCCAAAGACACGTAGCTTCTAAAAGGCAAAAATGATTAAAGAGCTCTGGAAATATGAGAAGAGACCGTGCCTAATAGTTCTCAGTGCTGAACTTGGATGGAACTGCCCATGCCATGGAGCTAGAAGTGGTCTTCCTTCAGCATGCCTAACTCATGGGAAATAGTGCCCTACATTTCTGAAGACAAAGTACACATCTCAGAGCTGAGTAGACTTCCCCAGGACCAGCTCTGAGGTTACCTGCCCACTATCCCCAAATGTGGTCAGGATGGGCTGACATCTGAGTGAATACACACACACACACACACACACACACACACACACACACACACACACAGTTTGACAAACGAATTCTGTGCCTAGCACTGTGCCTGAAACTGAAGCTCAAAGAAAGAAGGAGGGAGAAGGATGTTAAACATGGAAGATATTGACAGTAAAAGGGATTGTGGGAGCAGAGGAAGAAGAGACTTACTCGGTCTCAAAAGGTGGGCAGAAAAGGCACTCGGAGATGGTGATGTTTGAGTGGAGTCTTGATGACAGGAGATTTGCTGATAGAGAGTGACAAGGGACAGTGGTGGCATCGCAGGTAGAGAAAACAGCAAGAACAAAGGCTCTGTTCAATCAAATATCACCTTCTCGGAGCAACCATCCCTGACCATTCACATATAAATAGCAGACTCTGTCTTTGTTCCCTGCTTTTCTCTCTTCCCATTTGTTAACTATTGCTGACACTATGTTATCTATTTATTATCTATTTCTCCAAGCAGGTTGTTAGTGCCACCTGAACACACTCACTGTTTTCTTCTTTCCTGTATCTCAGTGCCTAGAACTCTATGTAGCACATAGTAGAGACTCAATAAATATCTGTTGAATAAATGAACAAGTGCCAGATAGGTGTGATTCAGAATACTGTGCCAATGCTTATATGCTTGCTCTTTAATGTGAAGCAGAAAGTAGGGAGCATTTTCTTAATCACCTCTTTTTCTCCCCAATCTCCTAATGTAAATTAAGTATATTGAAATGTAGAGAGGAGGAGGAGAAAGGAAATAACATTTATTGAGCATTGATTATGCTGATAGTTCACATAATTTCAATCTCCATAACAACTTGATGAGTAGGTATCATTATCCCCAATTCATAGTAAGGGAATACTAGAAGCATGTGATTTATGCAGTCTCCCAGATGGTAAGTGAAGTAGCAGGGCTAGGATTTGAACCCAGGTCTGCTTGCTCCCCAGGGCCCTCCGATCACCATATGGAGCCCCTTTGGAGTGCTGTCTACAATGAGATGCCTGAGGAAACTGCCTGCAGTGCGAGGAGCTGGTGAGGACTGCTGCTGTTACCAGGGTCTGCCCTTACCCAGGTCTTTTCATTCTCTCTCTAATTCTCATGATAATCTCCAATACAAAGTATTTACATCCCCTGTAATTGTATAAGGAAATAGGTTCAGAAACTGAGTAAACTGTGTCAAGGTCACCTGGCTAGCAAGGCAGGTGGGAAAGCAAAGGATTCAAACCTGGAGTCCAGAAGGTCTGACTCCAAAATCTGATCTTCCCTTCAAGCTACTCTGAGCCACAGACCATAAGAATTTGAAATCAAAAAAGAAATCTCCATTTCAGCTCCTAGAACACATGACAGTTTCTCACCCCAGATTGTTCTCAGCTCAGTATGAAAACATATAACAGAGTATGAACGCCTGAGTGAAAGAAAGACCTAAACTTAAATTATTCCAGAACGGCAAGCTATTGTCAGTGATTGACAACCAGTCTCGACTCTCACCAGTGACAGCCACACACAAAGTCAGCCTTCAAAAAGAGCTCAGTTCTCTTCAATTAGCAGAGCTGAAATGAAACCACTTAGGAAATTATACTATTGGGTGACTGTTGGGTTTTAAACATAATGAGAAAAATAAAGGCTAGGCCCAAAGTTTACTATCAGCTGAGCTAGAGATGTCAGATATACCAGGACTTGAGACCACACGTTCTTTTCCTAACTCATGCTTGTCTGCTTCCGTGACACTGATCCAATCCTGAATTCATTCATTCTTTCATTCATTTAGCAAATATCTATCGATTATTGACTGCCAAGGACTGGAGCTACAATAGGGAGAAAAACAGATATGATCTTGCCTTCTGGCACTCCCAGACAGGTAAACAGGCACTGGCATACCTTGCAGTAGGTGACATGAGGGGAAAAATGCAGGATGCTCAGAGGCAGAGCAAGAGAGCCCCACAAAAATGACATTTCACACTGAGTGGGAAACAGCCATGCGGGGCAGAAATACCTTCCCAGCAGGCAATGTGCTCACCCATCAGGAGAAGGACAAGGGTGGACAAGGCAGGGGGCTGGCAGCGTGGAAGGAGTGGGCCCTCCTCCTGCTGGGCCCACCTATCTATTCCCCTAGGAATGCTAGAATCACAGCCCTGGAAAGCTGGAAGGGCTCTAAGTCACTCACCACCATTCACTCAACAAACCCTGTCCCAGGATATCAAAGGCTCAGAAGTGAACGAGAGCAGGGCACACATAGGAAACTGCCAGTGGTTCCCTAGGATCAGACTTCCTGGGCCAGATCATGAAGGGATAATGCTTCATATTGAGGCAATGGAGAGCCATTGAAGGCTTGAGCCGGAGGAAGTGACACCCAGAGCCTACAACCTTTATGTAGCCTCATATATGTGGATTCCTAGATTCTGTAGGTACAAGGTCTGGAGGAACTGGATAAGAGAAAACAGAGAAAGACAGGTATTTATCTGGTTGAAGGAAAAGTACAGGATAGACTTGCTTCTCAGACATGAATAACAGTGAACTGGGAAGAAAATAAAGATTAGAATCTATTCGTGGCCTTGTCTCTAATTAGTGTAATACTGGACAAGTTAATCCGGCCCCTCGCCACACACCCTGCCTCAGCATCTTCATCTGTGTGATGGGTGGAGAGTTAGGTAGCTCATTAGAAATGGCAAATACTAACATTTAATGAAATATTACTCTGAGCTCTGAGCCAAATGCTTATCTCCTTTAATGCCCACAGGCATCCTGTGAAGGAAGTCTGATTATTCTCATCCCCATTTTACAGCAATGGAAACTGGAATTTGAAGATGTTCAGTAGCTTGTTGAAGGTCAGATATTTGGTAAGAGGTGGAACTAGGATCTGAATGCAGCACTCAATTGCTGAACCATGAAAACAACCTATTTTGAGGCTGTTATGTATTTATTTCACAAGAATTTTCTAAGCACCTGGGCTATGAGGGTAAAAAGATAAGGGAACAAAGTTCTACCAATGTGAGAGCCAGATACACATTCTCTTTTAGACTGGGAGCCCTGAACCCTAGTTTTGGTTATATCATTAATTCAATTTGTCTCTAATGTAAAGAGTGTGTGTGGGTATATATAGAGGGAGGGGTGAAGGAAGCAATTATGGCAAAATGATCTCTCTTGGTTTCTCTCTCTTGCACTTTGAAATCATCCTGTATCAACAGGGTATCACAAGAGACCCAGGACTGAGATGACCCACATCTGGCACAGATATAACAACAGCATCATCCTCAGTGAACCAAACTGCAAAATCAACCAGGCACCCAGATAAAGGGCTAATTGGGCAGCTTGGTCCTTATTCAGGAGACCCAGTGACTGCAGTCTGGAGAGAAGTCATCTCTTTGGCCCTTAGACCAGGCAGGCCATTGACATCCCAAAGAGAGAGAGGTCTTCTTTTTGGAGGCCATAAGATCAGGTCAGGCCTGGGGCCAAAATAAGGGAAAGCTGCTACAGGAGGCATGCTTCCACAAGCCACCTCGGCCCATGTGCAGCAATACACTTTCCAATTAGAGCTAATTGACCACCTGTCGGTCAGGGGCAGCAGAAAGACGAGAGCAAGGCTTCAAGGATCCTGGGCCTACCCCTTGGCCTGCAGCCCTGCCCGCCCCCCCGCCCCACCCCGCCCCGCCCCCACTCCTCCTCACCTACCTCGTACTGCTCTGACTAATGAGCCAAGGCCAAGGAGGGAGGGAACAACCTGCAGAGAAATGTTTTCTCCCTTCTTCCAATAAACTTTCAAAAAGGTTTCTGAGATCCACGGTTGGATTCTCCCATGCATACAGCCCCAGGTGCTGAGGGACAGAGGCGCACAGTAACAGCTCATTTAGCAGGGAACAAATGGTCTCCTTTCAGGCCAACCAATAAAACATTATGCACTCAGTCAGGCTCTGGGACCCAAGACGAGTGTCGATCGGAAAGACGCATGGGGGACACAGCACCCGCTTACTTAAGATACTCTGTGACTGCTTCAGGGCAAAAAACAAAAACAAAAACTGAAAGGCAGTGTTTCCTTCAAACAACCCAGAAGGCCAAATGCAAAAGTGCTCATTGGAATAACATAGTGAAATCAAGGTGATTATTTACAGAAATAAGAGATTATATGTGTGCATAAATAGTCCTTTGTTATTCATAATTCACTTTCACATGCATCATCTCTTTGAAGCTTCACAACAACTTCAGCAGCAGGAAAAGCAAGAGGCAGTGTCCCAGTTCTATAGAGAACGGCCCTGGGAGGCTGAAGCTCAAACCGAACACCACACAGGCCAAATGTCAATGCTATAGTTCAAACCAAGCTCCTAATGCCAAATCCGCTAGACTTTTCACATTAACACAGCAAATCCAAACTTTACGTTGCTTTTACAGTTTTTTGAGTCATAATATATTGGGGCTGAAAGATTCTTGATAACAGCTGGAAACTGAAACCCAGAGAAGTTAAACAACATTCTCAAGATCATACATCAAATTGGGACTAGGTCCTTGGTCCTTATACTCCCTCTTCCCACTATACTTCAATATAGACCCCAATAACAAGAAATATTTCCACAAAATAAAAAATGCTTATGCTGTTCCCGTAGATGCCAGCTACTCCCATGTTTCCTTTAACACAAGCCTTTACTTCTAATAAAGCAGTAATGTTAATGCAGGAGGAGAAACAGGCACAGAAGGAGGGAATCAGTAGAGTTCCTTGCACACAGTAGGGGTTCAATAAATGTCTGCTGAATTGAATGTAGTGAAATAAGTATGGATCCACAGGGAAAAGAGAGGAAAAAGAAGGTATTTTGCACGTACGTAGATGAAAATGCATGTACTCTATGTAAGACACTATGCTGGGAGGTTGGCACGAAGAAGACATTTGCCATATTCCAAGCTGATTTTTGACATCAACTTGAAGCTCCTACTGTGTTAACATTGCACAGGCACAGAGAGAACACAGCAGGATGTGTGC
The DNA here is from genome assembly GCF_000001405.40 of Homo sapiens. Lineage (NCBI taxonomy): Eukaryota > Metazoa > Chordata > Mammalia > Primates > Hominidae > Homo > Homo sapiens. The sequence continues at coordinate 58,237,443 of NC_000001.11, forward strand.
TTCCAGGCAATCCCTTGGAAAGTGTTTGACCTTCACTAAAGTTTTGACACTGTTTTCAGTATCACCTTGGGGGTCATTTTTTTCTTTTTTCTTTTTTTTTAAGTGAAAAAAAATTCTAAAGGAAAGAAAAAAGTATGTAAAGGAGGCAGAATTGTTCATAAAATCCTGGTGACAGCACAACTACTGAAACCCGGTGTCAAGAGGCATTCTCTCACACTGTCACTGAAATGCTCCGTAACAGATTTTGCCTGATAGTGACTTCTATCAATTTCTGTCTATTTTCATTCCTCTTCTGCAGCCACTGGTGGCTTCAGCATATTTTGGTGTGGTTCTATAGCAAATAGAAATGTCATAGATGACCACTTTACATGTTAGCCCAGAAAGTAGACTGGTGATCATTACCATATATTGAGCACATGAGATAATCATGATAATCTTATCATAATCAAAATAATAGCCAACTCATTGTTTACTATGTGTTCTTTGGTAAGCACTTCACATGCATTATTTCATTATATTTAGCCTTCTTAGAACTATTATGTTTAACTTGTCTGAAGCTATACAACCATGCGGTGGCAAAGTCAAGTTCTAACTTCAAAGCCCATGTCCTTTGGCAGTACCCCGTAATTCATTATTGTATTCATTTGCACAAACAGTAAGTACCTGGAATTGTGCTAGCTATCGGGATACAAAGATATAAACCATGCTCTCAGGAAGCTCACAGTAAGTAATACAAGCAGTAGGATAGACCAAGGGTCTCTATGTGCTAAGTTAAAAACAGAAGTGGTTGCTGGGTGCTCTGACTACATCCAGGGAAGTCACCTCACCCAGTCCAGGAAGTAACAAAGAATGCTTCCCAGAGGAAATGATGCTTCCATCATGAACGGTAAATGTGTCAAATGACGCAAGGCACAAAGGGCATTTTGCTCATGATTGGGGGAGAAGGGACAGCAGGTACAGAGAATAGAGACATGGGAGAGCAGGGCATATTCAAGTGACTTCCAGGTAGTTCAGAATAGATGGAGTCCAGAGGAGAGGACCAGATAGTAAACAGAAAGAATACTACAAAGGAATGAGATGGAAAAAAATTGGTTACGAGCCAAGGAGGGACTTTTATGCCATGTTAAGAAGTGTGGGATATCCTGTTTGCCATTGTGCCCCCTGAGGATTAGTAAACAAATGTGTGATGTTTAATGGGAGCATAACAGCCTACTTCCACTCGAATGCCCAGAGAAGAAAAGCAGGGCAGTGGTACTTCCAGCCTCTCTCTTCAAAGAAAAAGGATCCATTTATATTTTAGGTGAAATCAGGAAGAGAGCAAATTTGTATGGCTATAGCAGACATGCTATAGGGTCTCACAGCATCACTGTAGCCCCATTTTTGTGCTTTCTTATACTTCTGCATGGGAACCAGAAGTGACTAGACAAAACTCTGGGGACACTAAACAGATACACTTACATGAGGCTTAGAAGGGCATGTTAAAAGAAGGTATATACCATATGCATAGAGAGTAACTTCTGGGGCAGTTCCGATAAAGATCCTTCTGTCTGTCCCTAGCAACAGTGTTGTGTCCACTCCAGCAATACCATGATATGATTGGCCATCTGTCCTGACATTCAAGCTTGGCTTCCAGGACCCTCCCGGAATGCTGTAGGTTACCCAACACCCCTTAATAAATCCCTTTCAGCTTAAATGTTGTCATCTGCAACTAAGAACCTAATTGACATGATACAACAGCTCCTCTTCTTCTGTCTTTCAGAGCTTCTAACCTTAGAAGATCTTCCTTCACTGCTTTCCTGGAGCTATCCAGCCCAGACTGACTTAGGAAGCCTGAAATAGCTGCACAACCTAAATTCTTCAATCAAATTTTAACAGAAATAAGATGCACGTTTTCATGTTTATCAAACTCCAATATTTACCTCCCATTTGGTTTTTAACTTGGAGGAAGAAAGGACATGTTTAAATTTCATCCCTTGAAATCCTACTTCCTAAAAAGAATAAGATCACACTGTGCTTTGGAAACAGAGAACAAGTTAGAATCAGCTATTTGGCTACAGCAAACCCAATCCCAGAACCTGTCTGGAGTAAGGAAAAGGATGCTTTTGTGTTAATTAGAAAGTCAATAGGAGCCCATGGAGTGCAGAAACTTCAGCTAGGAGATGCAATCTGTTGATTACCAGGGGACCCTTTTCGCAAGAGGTCATAATCTCAAACCTTCAGCTCGCTTATATTATTTGCAGGGGGCTGATTTTCCCCCTTGACTCTCACAGAGTTGTCCAAATACACCTGTTTCCAAAGCATGTGGTCTCCACACCTGAACCTCTCAGAGCTGAAAATGAGGAATAAATAAGAAATAAAAATAACCAACTCTGAGTGGAGCAATAAAGGACTAGACAGCACATGAACTAAGCTACAGAAAAATCAGCCAAGAAGACCAAAGGTTTCCAGTCCCGGAGCCGCAAGTCATTATCAAGCTAAATTCTCTTCCCTGCATTTCCCCATCATTAAAACAAGAAGAGAAACATTAAATGTAAAGTTGTCTTTGCTGAGTAACTATTTTACACTCCACACAACAGTAGGAGGTGGAGTGCAAAAGAAGTAGGCGACTGCTGCCTTGCACTCCATCTTACAAGCAAACCCAGGGAACACCAGAATGATGAGAGTAGGTGTGGCTGGTACTGCCACACTGTCCACCAATACCCATTCTTCCCACATTCCAAAAATAGAACCTCAATTCTGGCACATAGCCATCCAGAATAAGTACAATATTCCTTAGTCTCCCTTCTGTTAGAAGTGGCCAGTTGACTGGGTTCTGGCCTATAAGGATGTAAAATAAAATTACAGGTGCAACTTCTGATCATATCCTTAAAAGAAATGGGCAGGCCTTCTCCTGACTTCTTTTCTTCCTTTTTGTCATCCAGTTAGAATAAGGATATGGTGACACACCATCATGGATCATGTCCTAGTGGTGAAGGAACACAAGCTGGAATAAATTTAGACCTTACACAATTTCACAGCTTAGAGCTTATTCCCTAAACACTCAGACTTTTATGAGACTGAGAAATGTATTTGTACCATTGTAAATGCACTCTTAAGCCACTTTATTTAAAATCTTGGTTACATGCAGTTAATTAATTAGGACCTATATCCTAATTGCTTGAGATGGCATGCAACCACTTCACTTGTCCAGCAACCTCACTTTCCCAGAATATAGTTGTAAACAAAGAAAGAAACTAAAAAGACCCCTAAGTAGCCAAAGCTATATTTTCACTGGAAGCTGATGCACTTTATTCATAGGAATGGCACCCACGCCAAGACTTGGTGGTTACTGACTCTTATCATATCCACATTTCCAATAAGCATGGTCCCTGGTATATTAGTCCACAGGCAATACAAAGATGAATAGAAAGAGAAGAGGACCTCTTTTCTTTTCCTTTGCTGTTCAAGAGTTTGACAACATACAGGACAGTTTTTAAAGGCAGATAAACTGATATTACCAAGACATGATAACACAATCTGACAGTGAGGAGAGTTGACAAAAGTATAAAAAATAGATATGAGAATTTTAAATCCACACATAAAGATATGAGAATTTAAAATCCATATATCCATATGTCTGGAGCTACTCATACATATAGGGGCAAATAATCTCATGTATCTAAATAGTCCTTAAGAATATTCTTGATATAGCTCAGCATAATAATTGATGTTTATGATATTTCGAGTCATACTCTTTTAAAAAGCAGAAAAGTATGTAATTATTATTATTATTTCAGAACATTAGTCATCTTGAAACTTTTTTTATTTGAAACATTTTAGTCCATGTGATGCCATATACACAAATTATTTCTTACAATCCATTGTTAAATGAAATACATTTGGATATCACAAACAAATCATTTCCTACAATCCATTGTTAAATGAAATACATTTGGATAGTCAGGGTTAGAACCATTTATTCTGTACCTAAACCCCTTTGAGCCTTGCCCTAAATACAATGTCCTGGAGATGAATCACACACATCACTACTGTCAAGTAACTCCTGGTCTATTTTGAACACACATAAATAAAGAGATCATTATAATATTAGACTAAACTTCTAGGGAAGGAAAAATCATATATAATGTAGATGAAAGAAAAAAATGACTATCTATAATGTAAAAGAAGCCTGAACAAAATGATAAGAAAAAGAATCATCTAAAAGAAAAATAGGCAAAATGATTAATTATCTGTCCACTTAAAAGCAAATTCAAATCTTTTCACGACAAATGTGAAAAGATGCTCCTTCTTGGCAGACATCAGGAAAACACAAAGTAAAATAGCAATGAGATATTTCTCACCTATCAAATTAGCAAAAGTAAAAGAGAATGATAATACATGTTGCTGGCAAGGATATGGGGAAGATGTTACTTCATATACACTAATGGAAATGTGAATTATTACATTCTCTTTAGAAAACAATATGGCATCATCTATTAAAACACTGAAAAGTGCATACACTTGGACTCAGAAATACTACTTTTGGGAATCTACCCATAAAAGTTAAATCATCCATTAAAAATGATAAATGTTCAAGGATGCTTATTTCAGTATTGTTTATAAAAATTACTGAATAAAAATCAATGCCTATCAGATGGAAAATGGTGGAAAAATCCATGGTATACTTGTTCCATTAAAAACTATACAACCATTGAAAATAATAACATATCTAAACCCTTTGACTCAAGGAGAGCTGGATGACAGGGAGAATAGTTTTCCATAGCGTTTTAAGTGACAAATGCAAAAAATGTATAATGATATCATATTTAAACCAATGACAAAAATTCCTGCCTATGTATATGTGTGTGTGAATGTATGTATTTGCAAATGATTATAGGAACTTAGAAAATACAGAAGGCATCTGGATTGTTAGACCAGTTTGTAAACAAGCAAAAAAGCTGTATTAAAAAGTAGATATCCCGGATAAAAAGTAAGCTGCCTACATAATAAAGCAGAATATGTATAATTATATCCATACCAAGGCAGAGTATATAAAATTATATCCATCTACATATGCTAGTAGTTATACATCTAAAGAGATAAGTGAAAGAATGGTCACCAAATTATAGATAACAACTAGAATTTGAAGTGGTTTTTACTAACCTTTATATCATTTTATACTTTTTCATTTTTTACAATTAATTTGTATTATTTAAACAATTTGGAAAAAGTTGATAAAGTGATAAAAACAACCAATGTCAGTGCTGGTCATTATTGAGTGAAGTCAACTAAGAAGAGTTCATATGGGACATAGAACCTGACCTCAGTTTCAAGAGACTATTGGATCTGGGGGATAGTTGAAGACAGAGGAAGTGCCAGGCAGGAAAAACTGTATAAGTGAAGGTATGGAAGTAGAAATGAACATGGGGAATTAACCCTGAAACAGTTCGCCCTCATATGGAGAAGCAGGAAAAAAAAAATAACATAAGCAAATGGCTGATATCACATGACCAGAATCAAACCAAGCATATAGGAAGTGGAAATAGCCACCATGATGATGCACGCACAAAATGTGATTTTTAGAGTTAACCTTAACAAATGAAAACAGCTTGGTTTCTTCAAATTCTACAAATTGACAAATATTTTGAGTTCTTAGTACTTTGTCCATGGTGACACCATGTGTTGCACTCAGATGTAAAACTTCAGCTTGGTAACATTTTCATTTTAAACCCTCCTTCCTGTCACTTTCCAACTTGGCTGTAAATATTTGCTTGGAGAAAAAATGTCACTAAAGATCTAAGCTCAAGCTTCCAAAAAAAGAAAAAAAAAGGTCATTTTGAAATAAGAAGCTGTATTCTGCATTTTAAGTAAACAAAAAGCCTCAACACCTATGACTCAGAGCTCATTTCAGAAAAAAAAATTGTTTTTATTTATTAAAAGCCTATGAATAGAAATGAATTCTTTATTTGGTATTCATTCTGATTTAAGTCCGCCTGCCCCTTTGAGATGGGAATCATGTGTGCTTTGCTAAATAAATGAAAAGGTTGTCTGATGTCACTGTTTCTCTTGTCCTCTGCAATATGGCTGGGGTTTTTTTTTAGTCCCAAGTGAAGAACTATTAATTATATAGAATTCTTGTACTATTGCCAACAAGGGAAGAGCCTAAATGTCACCAAGTAATGATCACCTCCTTGCCCAAACCAGCTAGTGTTACACAGTGGCCCAAGACAGTTTATTTCAATCTGAGAAACATTCTCTTCTATCTTTCACAAGGTGCCTTTCACTCTCAAAGTGAGAGTTCAAATCACAAGGATCACAACTTTACTATTCTGATCACCGTATTATAAAACAAGGCAGATATTATTTCATTTCTAGGGAATTGAAAAAGATACCCAGAACCATCAGGTAGCCCTTCTGATGCCTGATAGTAGAATGGAAGAAAAACTCAGGCCCCTGAAATGCAAATACTATGTCTTTTTAGACAATTATCCTTCTGTGCATAGGGTTGACAATGAAAAAAAAACACACACACAAGAAAAATTTCATCATTTCATGCTTTGCTGAATTTTAAGAGTAGCAACAAGGATCAGTGAAAAAAAGAGTCTAAAGAAAGAAAATGAGAACAGATGTTGAGACCAGACACACAATGTCCCAATCCCAGTCCTTCTCTCACTTGCCATGTGACTCTCAGCATTCATTTAACATCACTGAGTCTCAGTTCCTTTCCATGGAAATACGGGATTGTTTTGAGAATTGATAGAATAACATATGAAAAGTGCCCATAAGTATAAGGTAGACAGTTAAAACAGCTGCTACAAAAGCATCAGCAATAACAATGACGACGACTGTAGTGATGGTGATGATGGTTCTACTGCTGAGGAATTCTAGGATCTTACACAGGTCCCAGAATCTTATATAACCAAGTAGTAAAGGGCACAGGCTACTCATGCTCAAATCCCAGCTCTACTTTTAAGCTGTGCCTCATATTCCTTATTTGTGGAATGTGAATATGAAATGAGTTAATATATTTAAAGTGTTTAGAGCAATACCTTGCACATAGTAAATGTCCCTCTCCCTTAAATAAAAGAGTTGGACAAAAGCTTTTGCAAGTTCAAGCTCTATTATGTCACTTGGTCAGGATTATCAATTTAGAAGAAGCACAAGTACTCAAAACAAGAACAGTCTCCACAGTAAGAAAGACTTGAGTTTATACCCAAGCTCTGAAATGCACTAACTTGTGCCTAGGACATGTTACTTAATGTCTCTGATCCCTGGTTTCCTTCTCTATTCATTAAAAACTCAGCAAATATTTTACTGATTTTTATTGTGCCAGGCATGTTCCAGCTGAGAATAAACTAAGAGTCATAACACTATTCCTAGGATCGTTAGGAGGATGAAACCAGAGAATACAGGTAGTGTGCTCAACCCAGTGTCTGACATACAGCAAGCCCTCAATAAATGAGAGTTGTAATTCCACTACCTACCCAGAGGCAGATGCTATCAAAGTCAAGCTCTGGAGGCCTCCAGTAACCACTGCCTCACTGACAAATTATCCCAACACCAAGGTTTTTAACCATGTCATCAGGTTTTCTAGCACACCTACAGAACTAGGAACTATGTCCACAACTGCTCACCAAAGTATCAAGAGACAGACTCTCTCCATGGTTCTGATTCAAATAAGAGATGCAGAAGAACAGTACTGGGGAAAAGAGTATCTCTTAACGAAACTGTCCCAGAAAACAGTGCTGTCATCCCTAGACATGAGTGTCAGCAAACCCCCCGCCGCCTCAGAGCAGCTTCTGTCTGCCCCATTCAGTCACTGTACTAAAGTGAAAGCAGAAGGTGCCTGGCTCCCTCCTGGGATCAACTCTTACATCTAAGGATACAGAATGAGCCCTGGACCCAAAGACCTGAGTTCAACACCTTCCATTTCTTCCTGGCTCTAGGAACTTGGCCAGGTCACATTAGCTTATCACGTGTGCCTCTGTTTTTCATCTGCAAAAGGACAAGGACACCTAATTGGAAGGGCAACTGTTAAGATGTGGACTAAAGGGCTCCATCAACTCTTAAGCTCTGAGCAAATATAGGGCATATGAAGCCGAGTTAGATGCCCTGCCTCTGGGTGCTCACAGATCCACTAATAGGGTAGAGTGGAAAAAAGAGAGGCAACAAAATGAAGGAGATCTGGGTTTGAATCCATCTAGACACTACTATTTTTTTTTTCTGACCTGACCAATTTACGTAACCTCTTGGAGCCTAGCTTTCTTTATCTGTAAAATAAGGATTACAACACCAGTCACATCGGGCTACTGTGAAGATTAAGCAAACAATTTTTAATGTAATTTAAAATTTAAACCCAACTAGTATTCGTGTTCTACTTATTTAAAAATAAGCCCAACTACCTAGTTATTTAAGTATAAACAGAACAAGTTTCTGTTCATTTATTCCATAGTCGTTGGGCACATCCTGCACATACAGTATCGTATAAGGTATGAAGATGATGTACATGAATATATATTGCAAGTTTCCTGCATATAATCTAGTTAGGAAAATATTATGTAAAGTAAAGGAGCAATGCCAATGTTTAGTAATGTGTATTAAACACAGAAGGTATTTAGGTGGGGTGGGGGAAGGGGTTGTCACTTTTTATTTTATACACTTCCGTATCGTTTGAATTTCTAAAAAAAAAGTTTGTATCAGAATTGTTAACAAAAATGAATAAGAGAAAATAAATGTTTAGAAGGTGTCAAAGATGTTAATCATCCTTTAGAAGCTCTTAAAATGAATGTAGTCATTAAACATCAATCATATGCTTTCGTGCAGAGGACTGTGTTATACCCTGAGATTGAATAGTGGAATGGGTAAGCCCCTGCTTTCAAGGAAATTTCACTCTAGTGGGAGAGATGAACACGTGGAGATTTGTAACACAGCACTTCAAGAGGGGCGTTTAAAGAGTACTGAGGGAACACGAGCTTCCTGAGAGAAAGGGACCTCTGAGTGGATGTCACTTTTAAGATGGATCCTAATGCATGAGGAGAGTCTACAGGACAAATGAATAGAACACATTCTCCAAACAGGGAGTGAAAGTAGCACCTGCAAAGGTATGAAAAGCATATGTGATATGTATTTCATATGTGGTATGGGTTTGTATGTAAGTGCATAGATGTGAGTGTGTGTGAGGCTGCATATGATGTGTGTGGGTAGGTGTGCATGTGTGAGTATGGTAGTGAGTGATGTAGGTGTAATGCTGTGTATATGTGTGCGAAGGCATGTCTAATGCTGTGTATATGTATAGAAGGCTGTGTGTGATGCTGTGTGCATGTGGGGGGTGTTTGTATTTATGAATGTGTGAAATTGTGTGTGAGTGGTGTGAATGTAATGCGTACGCATGTATGTCAGGGTGTGTGTGACTCTGTGTGTGAAGGTGTGTGTGTATGTGCATAAGTGTGTAGGTGTGTGGGTGTGAGGGTAGTGTGTGTGTACGGTGTGAGCATGTGTGTGTGTTGTGTGTCACAGGAACATGAGGAGGGAGTAAGACGGCCAGATGGTGAAAGGCCTTGAAGTCTATAGTCAGGAATTTGAACAGTATGCCTTGGGCAATAGGGAGCACTTTATGTTTTTGATCTGGGAGTAACACGATCAAAGCCATGTTCTAGAAAGATGTGTCACATCTGTGGAAGGGCCCATACTGGAGGCCAGGAGATGAGCTGGGAGGCTCTGAGGATGGGCCAGAATGGGGGCAAGGAGGCTGGAGAGGAGAAGATTAATTGAAATCATTTTGTCATCACTGCTACTTCTGGGTGGCATGTAAGGGTGTTTACTATTCATTTTTCATTTCCCCCCCCGCCAGGTTAAATAAATAAATAAATAATACATGACTGTAGAAGTTGTCCATTCGATGGAAGACAGGTCTGAAAACAAGCCAAAAAAAACACCTCCTCCAAAGTTGTTGAGAAACCCAGCCTGTCCAAATGGAGTACCCAACTTGACCCAAGCAAGAGCACACTCTCCAGGTTATACAAAGCATGTCTGCTAGGCAAACAGCTCCCCTCCCAGCACCAACAGCACACCAACAACTGGAGTCTCCAGTCATGGATGAATGGAGAAACAGAGTTCGTGACTTTCTGTGGTACAATGTGTATTTCACAAATAATTGTCTTATCATGTCAAAGCTAAGTCCAGGCTGCAAGTCTACCTGGAATGTGTCTTGTGCAGTTTGAGATTTTCCTTTACATTTTTTCTAAGCCGGGGGTAAGACTGGTCTTGCTTCATGCGGGCTCTGGTCGCTCCCTCTTAGGGCTAGTATTTCCCTCTCTGCTTTTCCTTCCCTTCCTGCATCTCTCCCTTCTCCTCACCACCACCCTCCCCACCCCACCCCCACCTCCCACCGAGTTCTCTGTCTCTGCTTCCTCTTTCCCACTGTCTGGTTGTATTTGAAGACTTAAGCTATCCCTGTCTCTCTATTTCTCTTAGCTCTGCCCCCTACCCACTCCTTCCTTTGCCTCTTCCCCTCTCTTCTTTCCTCTCTCCCTATATTCTCACCCTGCATCCCTTCCTGGTATGTACAAAAGATTCCATTTTTAAAAAGGAGCAAGGCTTTTGCTAGCACAAGAATCTGATCGACAAATGTGGTCACTGTAAGGCAACTAGCTGAGTCCAAATTCAAGAAAAAAAAAAATCTTGTCAAAGAGAGAGTGCTGAATGGTGGCCATTCATTTTGAGGGAGGTGGGTGAATCCTGTGGCTCCCAGTTGTCCCTGCACACCAGTATCACCAGGCAGTCTTCCAGCTGGGAAATCCCTATTTGCCAATAAGCCCTGGCGAGCCCCCATTCCTTTCCACTGGGAGCGAGGTGGCACTGCTGCTGTCACATTGCATGTACTGCTCAGCTACTCCTTCCGCTCAGCTCAGAAAAAGAAAAAGCCATAAAATTCAGAATCAGCTAATGTCAGCACTGCAGGGGATTTCAGAGATCTCTTGGTCCAACCCTTGTCAGGTCACTGGTGGAGAGACTGGGGCCCCACGTCGCTAAATGCCAGGGAGATCTATTATTAGAAAACCTAGACCTAGGACCTGTTGCAAAAATCCCTCTGCCCTGGGAACACCTCTAGATTTTGAACAGAATCTGAACAGAAATCTACTATCTAGCATCAAACGTACAAGCAGATAGAAGAAGCTTAAAATAGAGACAGAAAGCGGTTCAAATGCACATCGTGCAGGTATGAAATCCACTACATGTCCCCTGCAAGAAGGATTTGGGCAGGGAAGTGTGTGGAAGATGGGGCTGCAGTGGTGGAGGGCTCTAAGCTCTGAAGACCTTTTTAATATGGCTGTGTTGTAATACTGCAGTGACAAACCCCGCCAGTCATTCCAAAAGCAAAAGGAAACCCCACTCTGCAGCAGAACTTCCCAGCCCTGGAAACAGATTGTCTTCCTTTTGCACCCATTTAATAACCACTGTATTTAACACGATCAGGGGAATTGTGCATTCTCGGAAGGCACAGTAAGGAACCTCGGTCTGCAACGACGCGATTCCTCAGACACCAAACTAAAATGCATTCATTGGAACTCAGCCTCCCAAAGCGGAAGCAAAGCCACTGCAAGGCGATTTACAGGCAAGAGCCCCTCTGAAAGAGAGGAAAGGAGGGGGCTTGGAAAGCAAGGGGACACACCTTTTCTGAGCTGTTCGAAACAGGCTGCCTGCAAAGTCCACCCATACTGCGCTGCCAAGGGTTAATTTTCTCAGCAAAAATTGGTACACGCACACACACACACATTCTCTCTCTCCTACTGCACCCCCACAACCTCTGCCACCACCACATATTTGAATCTTTTTAATCTTAAATTCCCAGAAATTCCCTGATCAGCCCTATCTTTTCGGAACAGCTCCCCCCGCCCCGCCCCACACCCCACCTGGGCTGGATTCCCACCTCATCATCAGTGAAAGCTCAGAGAGCCGGGCATAATTATTTTCCTACAAGGTTATGCCTAATTGGTCACTAATCTAATTGATCAATCATCTCATTTTTCAAAGCAGCATCAAAGAGCCAAGCTGAGAGGGCAGAAAGAAAGCATGCGTCCGGATGGCGGGAGGGTTAAAATTACAGTCTTTGGGTAAGACCCCTGGCCAGCTTGCCTGGTTTCTAGATACATAAGTGGACAGAAAAGAAATGAAGAGAACGCGGACTGAGCGAGGAAATGCTCAAGACCACAGGACTGAACCCCCCGGAAGTCTCGACGCTGCCCAGCCAGCCAGAGTCCAGTCGTCGACGCGGATGAAGTTGTTTCCCCGGGACAGGAAGGGTTAAATGGCTGCGCGTCAACTCGGCCTCGACTGGGGTGTCAGGGAGCAAGAGCCGCTTGTCTCGGGGGATTCCGCTTGGGGGGTTCCCAGGGGTCGCCCTGGCGCTCCGGCCACAACTTGGGCGGCTCTGTGCGGCGGCCCTCGCCTGCGCCTTTGCGCGCCACCCAAAACTTTGCGCACACTGCAGCCGCCGCCTTCCCGCTCTTCGCGGTGAGACGCGCGCCGCCAAGTGCCGCAGGCAGCCCTCCACAGCCGCCGCGGCAGCCGCTGCCTGGCTTCTGGCTCCAGACTTTTCCCCCACTGCCTCCAGTTCCCACCCAGGAGGCTCCCTCGCGGCCGCGAGAGCTCGGCGCCCGACCCACAGTAGGCAGTGCGGGCACAGTGTTGCAGACCACCACCTCGCCAGGTCCGGGCAGCGCCCACTAGACGGACAGGCGCCCGCGGCCGCCCCTACCCCGGCGCGCCCACCTCGAGCCTCTCACGCCGCGGCGGGCGGGCGCAACATATTCTCCTACCTCCAGCCGCCGAGGACCACACTCTCCGCTCAGCCCTCTCGACTCATCCTCCGGCTGCAGTAGAGGGCGAGCGGGCTCCGCTTTTGTTCCCTGGGGCTGGCAGGTCCGTGTGGGGCCAGGGCGCGCGGGAGACGCCGCGGAGCTGGGTATCCCGGAGAGGGGATGCTCACTCCTAGCGGCTCCGCTGGCAGCAGTAGTGGCGGTGGCAGCAGAGGCAGCGGTAGCAACAGCAGCAGTAGCAGCAGCAGCAGCAGTAGAGATAGTGCCGGCTCTCTGCAGGCCACATCTTTCATACCTTATACATCACTACCGCATTCCCCCGAATAGGGGAGCCCCTCAGCATTTCGCCACCTAGCGCGGAATGCTGCTGCAGGAAGAGGTGGCGCGGCCTGACCGACCTGGCCTGAATGTGAGCTCTGAGGGGGAAGGACCTCAGCACCCACTCGCAGACTCCCTTCTCCGCTACGGTCACAGTGAGGTCTACAACTTGCAGCCATTCTGCAGTCTTCAGTTTGCAGTTCTCAGTGTCTGCTCCCCTGGGAAGTATGGACTTCAGGTTAAGCAAAAGTGATTTACTGGGGAGAGCCCTCTCTGTGCTGCCTCTAGGGTCTTGGCCTGCACGTGCTTTTACACAGCCTCCTCCTTCTTGGGGTGTTCACAGGTGCAAGATTTTGCAGCAGCAGACACACACTCTTCTGCAGGTACATAAACCCCTGAGACATGTTATGCACACCCCACAATCAAGTGTGTCGGCACTGAAGCAGGCAGACCAGGGTTTCAGTTGTAGCTGTGTGGTCTTATCAAACGACCAAATGATTGAGCTTCCATTTCTTCATCTACAAAATGGGAACCATATGTCTCATATAATTGTGAGAATCACATGAGACAAGCACAGAGCTTGACACATGGTAAGTGATAGCAAAACATGAGTTTTTCTTCCTTCATCTGATGCAGGTCTGCCCTTCCTGAGGTAATTATATATCAGTAACAATTCACTCATCAATAAATATTTTTGTGTGCTTACTATGAGCCTACCTCTACTTTATGGAGAGGAGCAGAACATTCAAAAGAACACAGACAAGTAATGTTTATTCTCTTGTAACCTGCTCTTTAGTAAGACGGAAAATAAACAAGTAAATCAGCAAGAAACTATTGGATAGTAATAATCGCTATTGACCAAAATTTAAGTAGATGGCGACATGTGATAGAAAATGACTAGGGTAGGACATCAGGCTGGGCATTTGGGAAAGAGGCCTCCAAGCACATGACCACTAATCTGAGATCTGTATGATAAGGAACCAGTCATTAGAAATAGAGGGAACAAGAGCCAAGGCCCTGAAGAAGGAACAGGTTGAATGTGTTTGAATAGCAGAAGGAAGGAAGTGTGGCTAGAATGTAGCAAGAGTGATGAGTTGGTGACACGAGATGAGGTGGAGAGGTTGAAGAGGGAGGCTGGTCTTATGGGTAAAGATCAGTAAGGGAAATTGACTTGATGCTAAGTTTGGAGTTTTGGGGGTTAGAGATGTAACTGTTACAGGATTGGAAAGAGTGTGATTTTTATTTGTAAAAGCTCACTCCAGCTGCTGTGCAGAGAATGTACTGAAGGGGGCGTGGGTGGAAGGAGAGGATCCAATCAGAGTGTCCCACAGTGCTGAATAAAAGTCCCTTTCAAGTTCCCTGACCTCCACAACCACAGCAACTTCCCCTCTGCCTGTAGTTCCGCTAGGAAAAAAAGGCCACTGGACAGCTACCCTGGGGGTCTGGGTATGAGTTTCTCCTACCACTCTCTGAGTATCCTTTTCCTTAACTGGAAAATATAAATAATAATCTATATATTCTCATACAAGTATTGTGAGGATGAAATGTGACAAGGAAGGCACCTAAGGTGCTAAATGACCATTAATTTCATGTTCAACATTTCTCTACTTTCAGGTCTTCAAGGAGCCTCTGGAGTGCTCCTATAACCCTTCTGTCCTGTCCAGGACCAGGCAGGGGTTGCCTGTTTGTTGAGTCCATGAAAAGCTTCTCTCAGCATCTGGGATGCTTGCATTAGTAATGCCAGCCCCTGAACCCATCTGTCTTTTTCTCAAGCAGGAAACATTTCGAGCAGGAAAGATTTTCATTTTGTTTAGGTCTTTTCAATTTTTTCCTGTCTGCCACCTTCATCTAGTTAGAAGCATGCAGGACATCATCATATAAAGCACTCAAGATATAAAAATAGAAAGGAAAACAGAGCTGTTTGGGGATGTGTAGAGCCAGAGATGGCAAGAAAGGGAAACAGACAGTCCTTTCTCTCTTAGCAACAGGAGGAAAGGTTTTCGGCTGAGACACGTGATAATTTCTGATATCAGTATAGTGTAACAGATTCCAGAGGCCTCCAGGATCTTGCTCCCCACTGCTACCACAGAAACTCAATGAGATAAAACAGGCATGATTTGATATTGCCCCCCTTTGACAGATGAGAAAGCTAAACCCCAGACAGGTGAAGTAGCAGAGCTGGAACTTGGACCCAGGTGCTCTTGACTTTCTCCTTCTCTAAGCCCAGGTGCTTCAAATGACCCCAACCCTAATGGTGTTGCCTAATTCCCAGGGCCCCGAAGCACTTATCCAATTGAGACCCAGAACTGTAGATCGCCAAGACAGTCAACTCATTCCCTTGTGCCCAACTCAATGTATTGCACTTCTCTCCATCTTTTCCGAGCTAGTTTCTCCAACTCCAAAACTAGTATATTGAAGTCCAGATAGGGATCTTAAATGTTAAGTGGTCATAGAAACTTACTCACTACTGCTGGGTTGGAAATCAGGGAGAGAACAGATGCTAGTGGATGTACCTTTGGGTTGCTGCATGGGAATCAGAGAGAATGTGAGATCTGACTTCGAACCTCTCCTGTCATTTATTGTGTTTTCTAAGCAAGTTATGAACCTCTCAAAGTTTTAATTACCTTATCTAAAAAATTGAATCACTATCTGCCCCAGGAGCTGTGAAGACTAAAGGAAATGCTCTAAGGATTTGCTCATTTATCTATCTATGTTCTTAAATATTGGTATCATTTTCTTCTCTCCTGCCAACCCCACCACCACTGGCAACTGGTTAACAACTGACTCTGATTGTTGTTAACAAGCCTGATTAACAATAAAGCCCTGAGTCATGGCATTTGCCAATTTCCTGAGTGTAAATATCCTCCCCTTGGCTGATTTCAAGTTACCAAAAAAGTGTGTCACTGAATGTGGAATTAAGAAGAGGTGTGCACGGTCAGTTATTGTGAGTCTGTACTACCAGCTGGACCCATCACATCACCACTGATAAAAATCAGCCTCAAATAGTTGGGCTGCCCTTGACAGTTTAGAGAGCACTTTATTTTACGTTATTTCCTGTGATATTCACAAGAATCCTTGAAGGGAAATGATCATCCCTATTTCCCCAACTGACAGATGGTAAAACTGAGAACCAGAGAGATTGAGTGACTTGCTCAAAGACCAACAGCTAACTAGTAAGAGTTAAGATTCAATCCTGAGCCTTCTGGCTCCAAATCTAGGGATCCTTCTACGCTCTGTACCATACATTACCTGGGTGATCACTGCACAAGCTCTGCAAATGTCTTTCTCTTTCAGGGCCATGATACTAGGACCTGAGCTTCTGTTTTTCAACTGGACAGGCAGGAATAGTCATCCCAGCCCTTCGCAGATACCCTGAGAATCAAATGAGATAATGCAGATGAAAATAATTTGTAAAGCACCCTACAAGGATAAAAGTATGAATATTATAGTTAGTGGCTGGAGAAAAAATATGGAAACAACAAATCCCAAGCCCTAGAGTAACTTATAAACCACAGAGGAGGCAGGACCACCCTGCACACATTCACCACATTCACTTCAGATCCACACTCAAGGGGAAACATGCAATAAGATATTGACTCAGATCCTTTTTAAACGTATATTAGTATAAAGACAATGGGAATGTGAAGGATAAAATGATGTAATTTTAATTACAGGCATAGCCAGAGTTGTTCAGAAACCTTGTTGCTTTTCTCTCTTGCTGTTTGTAGAAATACAGTCATTTCCTACTCCAGTGCTGCCCCCTACCCCACCCACCTCCTTTGAGAGAGGTCGAGATCAACAGCTTAAGGCAAAGGGAATTTATTTATTTTTTTTTCTATTTTTTTTTTATTATACTTTAAGTTTTAGGGTACATGTGCACATTGTGCAGGTTAGTTACATATGTATACATGTGCCATGCTGGTGCGCTGCACCCACTAACTCGTCATCTAGCATTAGGTATATCTCCCAATGCTATCCCTCCCCCCTCCCCCCACCCCACCACAGTCCCCAGAGTGTGATATTCCCCTTCCTGTGTCCATGTGATCTCATTGTTCAATTCCCACCTATAAGTGAGAATATGCGGTGTTTGGTTTTTTGTTCTTGCATAGTTTACTGAGAATGATGGTTTCCAATTTCATCCATGTCCCTACAAAGGACATGAACTCATCATTTTTTATGGCTGCATAGTATTCCATGGTGTATATATGCCACATTTTCTTAATCCAGTCTATCATTGTTGGACATTTGGGTTGGTTCCAAGTCTTTGCTATTGTGAATAATGCCGCAATAAACATACGTCTTTATAGCCGCATGTGTCTTTATAGCAGCATGATTTATAGTCATTTGGGTATATACCCAGTAATGGGATGGCTGGGTCAAATGGTATTTCTAGTTCTAGATCCCTGAGGAATCGCCACACTGACTTCCACAATGGTTGAACTAGTTTACAGTCCCACCAACAGTGTAAAAGTGTTCCTATTTCTCCACATCCTCTCCAGCACCTGTTGTTTCCTGACTTTTTAATGATTGCCATTCTAACTGGTGTGAGATGATATCTCATAGTGGTTTTGATTTGCATTTCTCTGATGGCCAGTGATGATGAGCATTTTTTCATGTATTTTTTGGCTGCATAAATGTCTTCTTTTGAGAAGTGTCTGTTCATGTCCTTCGCCCACTTTTTGATGGGGTTGTTTGTTTTTTTCTTGTAAATTTGTTTGAGTTCATTGTAGATTCTGGATATTAGCCCGGCAAAGGGAATTTATTAAGGCAAAGACAGAGGCGTTTGTCACTTGGCAGTCCAGAGTGAAGCCAGTTCTTTTCTATTGATGATGTCATCACGTCTGTGAACTCTCTTGCTTGCTTGTTCATTCTCTCTCTCTCTCTCTCTCTCTCTCCTTCTATACCCCCATTTCAGAAAGCTTTCTTCCTGTAGGAAGCAGGAGGGGTCATGGCCACCAACAGCTCTAGGCTTCTATTATCTCAGGAAAGAAACATTATCTCTCCCAGTCTCAAACATATGGAAAAAATAAAATAAAATGTTCAGCTTGTCCTGGATTAAGTCATGTGCCTAATCTCTACTAGAGGGACTATGATTGACCAAGTCTGACACAGAATGAATCTTGTGGCCAAACTTCATGGACTGGAGGAGAGGTGGTCCCCCAACGGCAAGAAAGTCCTTTTGCCAGATAAAAGGAAGGAGTACTGGGGAGACAAAATTAACAGGCATCTAATGTGGTGACAGACTCAAAACTCAACTACTGCTTGTTAAATGTCTCTTCCACTTTCATTTAATTTTCACAATAAGCCTGTGAGGTAAGAATTACTATGTCTGTTTTGTAAATAGGGAAACTGAGACCTGAAGAAATCAAACTAATGTGCCTAAGCTCCCCTGTTCCAAGGTATCAAAGTCAGGATTTGATTCTGACACTTCTTGGCCCCAGTGCCTGCGCTCTTTCCATTGCATTTTCTGCAGCGCCTGTGGCCATGGAGTTCAGCTGTGGCGTCTATGAAATGAGGGTATCGCTTCAGGCTCAGCCCTTCTGAGAGGGAGAGAGGGGACTAAGAGCCATGTGCTACCTCTCTCACAGGTGTGTTTTCTCCCTCTCCAGTGCAAGTTTAAGAGAACGCTCTTCACTATCATTGGCATTGTTGCCAGAGTCTATGGGTGCACGGTTGCCACGGTGATTAGAGTGATTGCAGTGAAGATGGATCCTTCAGAAAAGGCGCCATGGCAGCTCTGTGAGTACCGAAGCCGGTGTGTGCCTACCCTTGCAACTACGAGCTTCTTTCTCCAGTCTTGTGTGCCATCTACCCATTTTCCAAGGGCCAGCAGCCAGCCAGCGCAATGCCTTTATAGGCTTCTGGCAGAACTAAGAAAAGAAGGAGAAGAGATACAGAGGGATGAAAGGTGGAAAAGAAATGGTGGGTGCTTTAGAGAATTAGCAGATGTTAAATTGTGGAGATTTATTCAGAAATGTGTTCAGATGATAATCAGAAGCACCCGTACAATGCTGCAATTTATGATATACCTACTGTGTGCATTAGCTCATTGAATCCTCCCCAAGGTTCTCACAATGTTAGTTTAGCACCATGTTTATACTGTCTGTCTGTCAATCCCCACTAGTCTGTGAGATCCTTGCAGTCATGGGCTTTTTATTGTTCATCTCCATAGCCCCAAAATCTATAGACTGGCTGGCACTAATATAGGCTTGGAAAACATTTGACAAATGAACGAACATGATGTATAAGTGCATGATCAAGAACCCATACAGGATTTCTGATTCCAAGTCCACAAATTGATCTCCCCCACCTTTCTGAACTCCTATAAAAATTATGGTCAGGCAATTAATTTGACACTCATATGCTGATTTGCGCCATCTCTTGAGTTGTTGTACTGAACTATAATTTGAAATTTTTATTGTTATTAAACATTTCACAAGGGGATTTATGTCTTGTTTTCACAACTAGCCTGTGAGCTCATTCATTCATGCAATAAGCATTCACTGAATTATGCATTGGGCATTGTTACATGGGTTGTTCCATTTAACCCTTCCTTCTTCTCCATGAGTATAATTATCCAGAGCCTACTGTGTGTCACAGGCACTATGTTCAGTGTGTGATATCATCTGTCCTGACAATTCAAAATCTCCAACCAAGCTGCAAACTCAAATGCCTTTAAAGGCCACATTAGTAAGCTCAGGGAGTGACGCAGTTGACAGCTAGGAGAGAGTGAGTGTATTTGGATAGGGCTTCTACAGATGACCTTGCAGCTTGTGCATCATACAAAGGTCCCCAGATGAAGACATGAGGTTGGCCTAAAATCCAGCCTGCTCTCCAAACCATGCATCAGGGTGTGGGGCTATGACTGCATGCAGGTGTTAACACCTTTTTTTTTCTTTCCCTGAAAAGCACTTTAGCTTGCTAAGCCCTGCACCTGAGGCTGCAATTGGTCAAAAGGGCTACTCTCCTAACTTGCATGAGGGCACAGCATGTGCTAAGGGAGGACCTATCATTTATGATGTGTGTTGGGGATAGGAAGGAAATAAACCTTAGGTTGCACCTCCCCACTAAGGTCATTAAAATTTAATTAAACAGATTGCTGCACAAATAAAATACTTCTATAAAACATATTCCACTTAGAGTAACCCCTAGTTTCTAGGTGATTCTTTATAAACAACTCTACAAAACAGACATTAGCCATCTAATTTTACAGCTGGGGGAGCTAAACCTCAGAGAATTGAAGTGACCCCTATGAGGTTATGGTTTATGATGTAAGGCCCCAAAAGGTTACGTGCATCTGGAGCTAGGAATGTAATTCAGCTTCTACCGAGTGACAGGACCTGGGCCCCTTACACTTGATCTTGATCTTCTTGCAGGATTCCAGGCTTTGAGTGTGATGTTTAGTTGGTGCCAGGGAAGATGAAGACTTGCTTATTTGGATTTTAAATTTGTACTGTTACCGTGGTGGGGAGGGAAGGTTCACCCCCAACACATTCCTCGTACACATGCACACATATGCATTCAAGGATAATTTGGGGTTCCCCAGGATAGGCACTCATCAGCTCTCCTGTCCCAGCATTGTTACGGCGGGTGTCTTCGCACACCAGGAGGAGTCTGAGAACCCCGCGAAGGAGCAGCTGTGTCTGTCAGCCTCACAGGCAGTGAGGAGTTGCTGCAGACAACAGACACGCCGGGGGCACCAAGGACCCATTCTGTTTACTCTGCCTCCCTACTGCTCAGTTGTTCGGTCCAATCTGTTTCAGGACTTCAGTCAGTGAAAAGAGTGAAAAAGAAAATCCTTTTAAACCGACAGCCTGAGATATTTTGCAGGTCTAGCTGGGAGCTTCCTGGAAAAATGAACCAAATATGGCTTTGAATGGCACAGACGAAATGAGGGTTCTAATTCCAGCTCTGCTGTAAATCACTGTGTGGCCTTGGACTGGGCAGTTACCCTGTCTGGACTCATTTTTCATAAACACCAGGCACAGACGAGGTGGTCTCTGGGGTTCCTGGCAATTCTGTGGGCTATGGCTTGAGAACTCTCTGCAAAACTGGACACAGAGATAACAGCAAATATTGGAGCAGAGACTGTCCGCTGGAGAAAGACGAAGGTTTGGCAGTTAGATAAGGAACCCAGACCTCAAACACATTCAACACTGACATCATTAATTGAATTTCCTGTTTGATACCTTTACAGGGCCAGGGATGTTTTCAATTAACGTGGGTTAGTAGGTGTTGAAGGGGGTCTATAGCAATGATGATGCCATTGGGGATCTGGCCATCTAGGCAAAGAAGCAGCACTGTACTGTACTAACAGGAATAAGGACTTCAAAATCAAAGTGCTCTGAGTTCAATTCCTGCCTCTGCCCTTAACACTCAGTAGATAATTATTTAATGAATAAGCTCACTGTGTGTCTTTGGTCAAATTGCTTAACTTTCCTGAGCTGTGGTTTCCTCTATTCTTAAGTGAAATAATAATAATGCTGGTTTTACAGGATTAAAATTTTACAGGATTGTAAAATTAAATAAGGTGATATAAGTGACCCATAGTAGGCACTCAAAATTATTAGCTTTCTTTCTATCTTCCCTTTTCTTGTAGGGATATGCTATAAAACTGCAAAAAGCTTAAACAAACTGGAACAGAGACATAGGATCCAGAGATGGAGCAGTGTGCACATGCCCAAAGGTGATTTAGTGGGTCAGGGAGATAGGACAGGATTTCATGAGAAGTTCCTTACTCAGAATTCTCCAAGAGATGCTTGGAAGTTTGGGACATTCTGCCTGTACTTCTGCCTTCCTTCCCTATGCTCAGGCCTGTTGGTATCTTACCCATTGTTCAGGGCTCAGTTCAGAGACTACTTTCTCTTGGAAGATTCCCATGATGCCTGAGCTACATGTAATCTTTTCTTCTCTGGACTTCCTCCAGTGCTTCAAGTGTGCATCCATTCCTTTGGACTTTGTGCTATAGCCATTTGCCTCCAAATCTAACATCCCCTATAGGCCATAAGTTCCTGTAGGTTAGAGACCAAGTGGGTCTCACTTATCTCTGTACAGATACATCCAAAAGATGTAGGGCCTGGCACAGAGAATAGCCCAGTCGATGTGTGTGAAATAAACTGACCAGGCTTCCTAAGAGGAAATTAGAGAGGGGATGGGAGGAGATCCATGATTTTGACAGACTCTTCCAAACCCAATTAAAGAGTCCTAATTCTTTGTTCAAACCATGAAAAGCAGGCAAGATACAGCTTTATCCACAAAGAATGGTCTGGTTAGGAGCTGGGCTGGCCTAATTGAAATAATAAAGTAATGATGATAGATAACACTTACATAGGTCTTACTAAGGACCAAGCATTGCTTTAAGTGCCTTATACATATTAAACCATTTAACCTTCACAATAACCCTATGAGGCTAAGACTATTACTAAACCTATTTATGGCTGAAAAGTTTGAGGCTCAAAGACTACAATAATATACCTGAGAACCCTCAGCTGGTAAGTAGGAGAGCTGGGATATAAACCCAGGAAGTCTTACTCCAAAATCCACATGGCATTCCCTAAATACAGAAGGGAAATTCCCTGTGACCCAGAAAACTATGAGATTATGTTCCCTGGGAACTCAGGCAAGTCACTAATCATTGTTGGGCTCGTATGTCCCCCCACCAGAAGGTGGTTTCAGAGCCGCCCTTCTCACCTTCGCAAAGCCCTTTACACAACGTCATACATCAGCTTAAGGCACCAGTTTAGGGAAAGAATAGGAAGGAGACTAAACTGGCCAGCATAGAGGGGAATCTGGGCCCCTTTCCTGTTTCTTGAAGGTGATCCTGTCTGCCTTCCATGCACAGAGAGGCCTCGGCTGGGCCCTCCCACCACTATCACCTCTTCTCCCAGCCATAGGCTAATTAGGAAGCAACATACACATGGGGCCGTATGCCCATCCCTCTCCTCAATATCATCCTTATTGCCTAATCATTAGCCTAAAGTAATGCGCCTGTTGTGGGCTAGCCACTGTTGACCTCCCCAACTCCAAGTCTGGCCACTCTCCAGCCGGCACACTCAGTCCAGCCAAACCAAACCCCTGCCATTCCTCAAAAGTGCTTTTTTAAAATTTTTCTAATGCCTTGTGTTATACATAGGTGCACACTGTTTTTCTAATCACTATGTGTTGTCCCTCACCTGAATCTACCCCTCTGACTTCCGCTCATCTTTCAAAAATTAGCTCAGGCATCATCTTCTTTAAGATTTCCGTGGGACTCAACCTCTGCCATGCTCTACCTCATACCCTCATCTGTGTTTCTTTATTTGTGATGACACAGTATTGTCATTATCCCTTTGCTTCCCTGGCTTCCCGAGAGTCCATAAAACCCTGATGGCAGAGACTGTTTCTTTTATTTCTGTTCTCCAAACTGGGAGTAGAGGTGCTCAATAAATATTGCTACATAAATAATAATTTATGTGCAATAATTTATCACATAATTGCAATGTATACAGCACTTCATATTTTTCTCGGGCTTATCAAGAATATAAGGTAGATATTTGTGGGTATTTGTATCCTATAACAGAAACAATGTTTGGCCATATCCCCGAGTTAAAAAATTAAACTGTAGGTGCTGAAGCTCAAGTCCTATGTCTTTAAACTGCATTCAGTGAACCCCAAATAAATAGCATTTTTCCCTGCCTAGGTTTTGGAAAAAATAAAAAATAAATAACAGTAAAGAGAGAAACCAAAGTGTCAACTATATTACTGCTAGAGGCCAAGTTGGAGGACATGGCCTTAGGTCCCTTAGCCAAGTGACTTGCAAATACCTAACTCTAGAACTGGACAGACAAGCCCACCAGTCCAAGGCATTCCTGAATTGCCTTACCTGATACCTGCCAAGGTAAGACCTAAGGAATGAGTAAGCAGAGAGGAACAAATGCTCTCTGCAGATAGACCTCTCTCAAGAGAGAAGGAAAATGGATCTGAGTGAGCGTGCCTAGTTATTGTTTCCAAATTCACCAACCAGAAAAAGTACTTTAATTCCCCCGAGAAGGGGTGGAGAAAGGCCAGATTCATGCAAAAAGAAAATCCCTTCTCACAGAAAGCCAGAGTGAGAAAAAATGATTGCATAACTCTAATAATAACCCAAAAGACAAGCTTTGAGATCAATTTGTTTTTTTGTTTTTGTTTTTGTTTTTGTTTTAGTAGAAAGAGGGTCTCCCAATGTTGCCCAGGCTGGTCTTGAACTCCTGGGCTCAAGCAATCCTCCTGTCTTGGCCTCCCAGAGTGCTGGGATTACATGCATGAGCCACCATGCCCAGCCTTTCAGACCAACTTGAAGAAAAGTTCCATTCCTCAGATACCCCCAGGTAGAATTTACCAAACCTGTTCATGGATTTTTAATTTTTGCAAAAATAGTGAGTTGTTTGCAATCTCTATAAAACATCCAAGCAACGGAGTCTGAAAGACGATTGAGTCTATATTCCCGTAGTGCAGAGGTTAGGTCTGGGCTCAATCTGTCATTGTAGGAGACATCAATCTATAAAGGTAACTAAAAAGAGGAGAGTAATGAGACTCCCCAGATAGAATAGATAAAGTGAGATAGAAATAGACTAAAACGCAGTCCCCTAGAACACTATCAGTTAAGGGACAGAAAAAGAGGAGGAGCCTATAGAGGGCACTAAGGAGTGGCCAGAGATGTCAGAGGAAAGACCTGAGAAGAACTGGCTGTGCAAGCCCAAGGAAAGGGAGGTCACAGTTGAGGGAGGGGCCATCAGTGTCCTGTGTTCCTGAAGGATTAAGCCTGATCCTCCCTCCTCCAACAAAAGACCTCAGTTGGTCAAGAGATCGAGACCATCCTGGACAACATGGTGAAACCCCATCTCTACTAAAAATACAAAAATTAGCTGAATGTGGTGGTATGCACCTGTAGTCCCAGCTACTGGGGAGGCTGAGGCAGGAGAATCGCTTGAACTCGGGAGGCAGAGGTTGCAGTGAGCTGAGATTTCACCACTACACTCCAGCCTGGTGACAGGGCGAGACTGCATCTAAAAAAAACAAAAAAAACAAAAACCTCAGTTTCCTCATCTCAGTTTCCTCAACTGCAAACTGAGTATAATAAATAACATCTTCCTAAAGCAGTCATTAGGACTGGACTGTTAATGAGTATTTGATTTTCTCATTTTTGGCACGTTAGGCACAATTATTCATCCCAATTAACATAGGCAGGACCTCTGATTTGCTTAATCCAATAAAATATAGACAGAAGTAATGTGTAGCATTTCCAGGTAGAAGCTTTGGGAATTAGTGTGTGCTTTACCATTTTCTCTTCCCTCTCTGTCATGACAATCTCAATGTTCCTAAGTAGCTTCCTTGTCACTCTGAGTCCAAGAGTGAAAACAAAGATAACACTGAGTAGAGTCAGCAGCCAACCTATGATGAATATGTAACATGAGCGAGAAATAAACCTTTGTTGTTTCAAGCCACCTAGATTTCTGGAATGCTTGTTATTGAATAATAATGTAACCTATTCTTACTGATACAATACCTTGTAAAATTACTGCAAGAATTACATGCAAAAATATGTAATATGGCATAGAGAACAAGATAATATGGAAAACAGAGGCCAATTAATAAATAATGATTCCTTTTACTTTTTGGGAGCTGTAAAAAGTCCTGCTGTTTGGATAAGAAATATCTGGAGTTGTTTATAGGATGCAGAAATTGTTTTAATAGTAATTGATGATAGCCGACATTTATTGAATCATTACTACAAGCCAGATTCTGTATATAGAAAAATTCCTTGCTCTTGCTAGCTTATTTCCCTGTCGTTTATTTTTCCTCTCCCTGAATCACTTCTAGTGATCCTTTTCAACCAACTAGATAATGTCCTGTTCATCTCAGGGCAAAAAGGGGCTCTGGAAATCACGTAGCTCAATGTCTGCCCAATGTCAGAGCTTCCTTCACAATCTCCCTGGTATGTAGACATCCAAATTTTGCTAAATCAATCTCTATGGCATGTTGCTTGCTACCTCATAAGGCAGTTGCTAGACCATAAGTTCTGAAATGTTAGGGCCCATATTTGTTGTGTTCACTTTGGAATTTCCTGTGGCCAGCATAGTACCTGGCAACATAGTGGAATGTCAATAAGTATATCTTAAAAGAATGACTGACCATACAAACCAACATTTATTTAGCTCTAATTTTTATTTTCCTTGTCTGTAAAATGGTGGTAACAATACTAACCTCAGAAGACTTGGTAATGCATGTACCTGATATATTGTAGAAGCTCTATTAGTGTTATTTTCTATCCCTTATCTCATTTCTTATTCTGAAACAAAGCACAACATAAATGAATGTTGGAATACAAATTGAGCCATTCACTGGTCTTCCAACTAATATTTCATAGCCAAATTTCTGGGTAATTCCTGGAACAAAAGCATGATATGTATAGTGTGCACTTATAATCATGTACTTGCAGATTTTGGAAGGCAGTATAGTTCAACGATGAGAAACTCAAGCTCTACAGTCTGACAAAATTGGATGAAAATGTACTCCTTGTGGATTGCTTGACCTTACAAGTTTCCTATACTTACCAGTAGCCATCAAACCTTTTTATCTTTAAATGAGGATACCTCATAGGGTTGTTGCAAGGTCCAAAGAAAATAAAATGACATAAAGTGCTCAGCACAGAGTCTGCAACATAGCAAACATTTATTAAATATGTGATATTGGTGTTATTCATGTAGGATGTTAAGAGACCTTAGAGACCATCTATTCTTAGAGACCCCCAATAAATTCACAAGAGCTAGATAATTAGATCCTGTCTGTAATGTGTTGGCTTTCACTACCTCTCACTTCCATAAATAGATATAGCCATCTTTGACGATTCTGATGTATTAGTTAGGGTAATAGTGGCCGCTGTAACAAAGACATCTAAAGTGTATATGGCTCATATATACTCATATAAGTTATTTCTCATTCAAGTTCAGACTTGGTTTTCCCAATTGGTTGCTGGCTTTCCTCCACGTGATGATTTAGGGGCATAAGTTATTTGTGTCTTCAACACATGACTTCCAAGGACATCAAGCTTGCCTACATCAAACTATTAGGAAAGAAATGAGGAAGTGGTGAAGCCATGTCTGTTTTTTCATGCCATTGAAGTGACACACATCTCTTCTGTTCACACTTTTTTGGGTGAGAACTAATCACGTGGCACCATCTAAATGTAGGGGGTGCTGGGAAATATAATAGCTATTTGGCTTGGCAGCTATTTCCCAGTGGCCACCTCTATTCTAATTCTATTAAAGGAGAAGCATGAGTTTTGATGGTCAGTTAGCTGTATCTCTCATAACTGATAAGCCTATTGTCATCTATATTTTCTTTGCTATGATTTGCACGGTCCTAGAAGAAAGGTTTTAATTTAAACATAAGCATCCCTAAAGCAGTATATTACCATGTGGCATAACTCATAACAATTTCAAATGAATATCACAATGGAGGCAAGAAGTAGAGTGTAGAATGTGTTGGGAAAGGGAAGGAGGAAGTGATAGAAGAAACAAGAGAAAGTTAGAATTGAGTAGAGCTAGGAGAGGGCACTTTACACACAATATTTATAATCTTCAAAAGAATCCTTTAGGAAGAATGTACTTCCCATTCAATAAACAAGGAAACTGAGGCTCAGAGAGAGGTGGCACGGCTTACCCAAGGTCACACAATGTGAAACTGCAGACCACAGATTCAATCCCAGATTGGTCTAAAGGCAAATCAAACATTCTCTTTCTCTCTCCTTATTTCTCTCTCTCAAGGCAAACTTAAGAGGAGTCTCTTAGTGTAACTCTTTCAGTCTTCCTCACTGGCCTGCTCTGTTCTCCAGCTGGCCAAACTTTGACCAGTTCCCTTTCTTCTAGAAGGAGTAAGCTTGCAATTGGTTTTAATTCCCACTTCCATTGACATTGCACTGTAGTCTCATCCATAAGTAGAATTACAAGGATAATCTAATGCTCACCCACTTTTATTAACTCCTCTAATCAAACCAGCAATTTTTTTTCATATTACATGAAAGAATATTAATCAATTCTGTTTATGGCAAAATCTGTGAATTTTCTACTTTAAATAACCTAATATTTCCCTACACCTCAGTCAAATCCTATCTATATCTTGACAGCAATGTCCATACTACTTTGAATGGGAGAAAAAAGGATAGGATCAGAATTTTTAGGAGCAAAATATGAATTTCCACATTGCATTTGACTTTACCATTTCAACACAGATTGTGATCCTACTGTTGAAGGATAATAAAAAAAATTAGCTTCATTTGCTGTAGGTGATTTCCTCATAAATGACTCATATTTGTCTAGTAAATTTTGCCCAGCCCTCTCATCCAGGAGGTACTCATCAGCCACAGAGAGCCAAATACTAAGTTTGACACTGGTGGATGCTTATTTTTGATCACTTCAATTTATAGGAATTTTTCTCTGTCTCTATACACACACACACATACACCCCACCACCACCACCACCACAGAGAAGAGAATCCAGTACAATTCACAGGGAGAATTAATTAGTGCATATCAAATGTGAGCTTGACAGGGCTATGATTTAAATACAAAGATGCCTGAAGAATTATGAGTCAATATTTGAGCTCCATGCTAGTCTGATGCTATTGTATCCACCTGAACAAATACGGCCTAGCATCCTACCTTCTTTGCAGCTGTTTGAGTCTCTCCCTACAGGGTGGTAGGTCTGAAGGGGCCTTTTCAGTGGGGGAAGAGGGTAGGGAAGGATTCTACACAGGGCTCAGCAAGCTGGAAGACAGCTGGAGGGAACAAGCTTCTCTCCTTCACGCTTCTCTCTGCTGCCAGGAAACAGCAGTTCCACGAGTAGAACAGAAGCACCCAGTCAGCTGGATGTCCATATGGAGACTTTTACCCAGGATCTGACACATTAACTGTGGGACATCTGGTAAGTCCCTTTCTCCCTGCTGAGCCTCACTTTTCTCATTCATAAAGTAAAGATAGTATTCCTGCCCTCATAAAGTTGCAAGCATTTTTAAACGTTTACATGTTTAGGGCAACCCTTTATCCCAGGCTCTGATCTAACATTTGCATGCAGTTTCTCACCCAATCCTCCTAAGAATCCTATGAATCCATGGATACAAAAGGGAACCAAGGAGCAGAGAATTGGAGGATTTTTCCCAAACACACTAGAATAGTAAATGATTATATGAATGATGACAAAAAACAATAATGTAATTAATAAATTGGCAAAGAGCTTGAATAGGTATCGTCCAAAGAAGATATACAAATGTCTAACAAGCTGTAGTCCGTACTCTTACTGTAATCCATCTTGGTGGTTCTCTTTTGGCTTTAGATGGAAGATGTTCAGTTTAAAATAATTCAAGTAGGCTGGGCGCGGTGGCTCATGCCTCTAATCCCAGCACTTTGGGAGGCTGAGGCAGGTGGATCACCTGAAGTCAGGAGTTCGAGAACAGCCTGACCAATATGGTGAAACTCTGTCTCTACTAAAAATACAAAAATTGGCCGGGCATCATGGCATACGCCTGTGGTCCCAGCTACTGGGGAGGGTAGGACAGGAGAATTGCTTGAAACCAGGAGGTGGAGGTTGCAGTGAGCTGAGATCACGCCACTGCACTCCAGCCTGGGCGGCAGAGCTAGACTCCATCTCAAAAAAATAAATGAAATAAAATAAAAAATAATATAAGTAGAAAAAAATGTATTTGCTCTGACAACTAAAATCTTGAAGGAGTATCCAGCATTTGTTCTGGCTGGAGACAGAGATGCTCAAAAAGTGTCACCGGGGTTCTTTCTTTCTCTGCTCTTCTATTCTTTGCAGGTTCATCACATTCTCCCCTACTTCCATTGGGTCAGCACAAACAGCTACAGGCACCTCCAGTTTATATCATTCTTATAGTTCACGACCAATGGAAGACAGCATCTTTCAAAAAAGTTCCCTTGAAAAAGTTCCAAGAAGGCTTTACTTGGCCTACCTTGGGCCTAGCTTGTCTCCTACTGTGATAGAGGAGTCAGAACTAGGACTGAAAAGGGGTGGTGTGAGGTCATCCTTTGCTAAATCTCCTGGGATGGGGAAGGATGGTTCCCCAGAGAAATGAATGCTGAGCGAACATCAGTATATGTCAATCTCATAAGGATTAGATAAGTATATAACAAGAACCTTATACACAATACCTTCTATTTTTTTAACCCAACGATGAAATCATTCCTAAAACCCTCTTCGAAAAGTTCTTGCTTCCATGCATTAATATCTATTTAGATCATTGGACTTGGAATCTCATCTGTTCCAAGAAACCTTGCGTCCCCTTCTCTATGTTTATATCCCCTCAAAACTCCCTATTGCAGTCCTTGTCATTCCTGGCTTGTATGAGAGTTGTTTATGGCCATATCTGTCTATCCAATTACTCACACTTAACTAGATTCTGAGCCAGGCAGGGACTCAATCTCATTGTCGCAGAGGAGAGTTGCATGCTTGGGCTTTGCGATCAGAGATCTAGATTTGAATTCTAATTCTGCCACTTATGAGCTATATGATTTACTAAAGTTACTTACTCACTCTAAACTTAAGTTTCCTCACCTATAAATTTGGTGATAATATATATCTTTAATTTAAAAAATTATTCTTTTATAGCCATATTTTAAATCATAAGGGATTTAAAGCAGCTTATAAAATGTACACAATAAAGTAAAAAAATACATATGAGAGCCAGAGAAAGCATAAATTACAGTAGATATATTTAAGACCTGAGTGAAGGTAAGAATACAAATATATAGACCTTCATAATTGTTAAATTATAGGTCATATATAATTATTAAAAACTGAGCTACATCTTTCCAAGAAACAATTAGAAAAAGGAAACTTGGGCAGTTAAGTGATTTCTCTTCTATGTGTGGCAGAAACATGAAGAAGGAACATTTCAAGTCCTCATAAAAGTAGAGCTTTTCCTGGCATTTGTTTCTAAATACTAATCCAAGAGGACATAGGGGTGAATGAGATCTGAAATAATATATATAAAGCCCCTGATTGCTGGTCCAAAAGAGGTGCTTCCAAAAGACACAAATAAATGGAAAGAATTTCCATGTTCATAGACTGGAAGACTTAATATTGTTAAGATGTAAATACTGCCCAGAGCAACCTACAGATTTAATTCTTATCAAAATCACAATGATAATTTTTGGGAAAAGTAGAAAAATCCATCCTAAAATTTTTACGAAATCTTAAAAGTCCCCAAATAGCCAAAACAATCTTAAATAGGAACAAAGTTGGAGGTTTCATACTTCTTGATTTCAATATGTATTACAAAGCTACAGGAATCAAAACAGTGCAGCACTGCCTGAGAGACAGATATATAGACCAACTGAATAGAATTAAAAGCCCAGAAATAAACCTTCACATATACATTCAAATGATTTTTTTTTCCTTGGTCCTCTTGTTTTATTTTTTTATTTATTTTTTTTTTATTATACTTTAAGTTTTAGGGTACATGTGCACATTGTGCAGGTTAGTTACATATGTATACATGTGCCATGCTGGTGCGCTGCACCCACTAACTCGTCATCTAGCATTAGGTATATCTCCCAATGCTATCCCTCCCCCCTCCCCCGACCCCACCACAGTCCCCAGAGTGTGATATTCCCCTTCCTGTGTCCATGTGATCTCATTGTTCAATTCCCACCTATGAGTGAGAATATGCCCTGTTTGGTTTTTTGTTCTTGTGATAGTTTACTGAGAATGATGACTTCCAATTTCATCCATGTCCCTACAAAGGACATGAACTCATCATTTTTTATGGCTGCATAGTAGTCCATGGTGTATATGTGCCACATTTTCTTAATCCAGTCTATCATTGTTGGACATTTGGGTTGGTTCCAAGTCTTTGCTATTGTGAATAATGCCGCAATAAACATACGTCTTTATAGCCGCATGTGTCTTTATAGCAGCATGATTTATAGTCATTTGGGTATATACCCAGTAATGGGATGGCTGGGTCAAATGGTATTTCTAGTTCTAGATCCCTGAGGAATCGCCACACTGACTTCCACAATGGTTCAACTAGTTTACAGTCCCACCAACAGTGTAAAAGTGTTCCTATTTCTCCACATCCTCTCCAGCACCTGTTGTTTCCTGACTTTTTAATGATTGCCATTCTAACTGGTGTGAGATGGTATCTCATTGTGGTTTTGATTTGCATTTCTCTGATGGCCAGTGATGATGAGCATTTTTTCATGTGTTTTTTGGCTGCATAAATGTCTTCTTTTGAGAAGTGTCTGTTCATGTCCCTCGCCCACTTTTTGATGGGGTTGTTTGTTTTTTTCTTGTAAATTTGTTTGAGTTCATTGTAGATTCTGGATATTAGCCCTTTGTCAGATGAGTAGGTTGCGAAAATTTTCTCCCATTTTGTAGGTTGCCTGTTCACTCTGATGGTAGTTTCTTTTGCTGTGCAGAAGCTCTTTAGTTTAATTAGATCCCATTTGTCAATTTTGGCTTTGGTTGCCATTGCTTTTGGTGTTTTGGACATGAAGTCCTTGCCCATGCCTATGTCCTGAATGGTAATGCCTAGGTTTTCTTCTAGGGTTTTTATGGTTTTAGGTCTAACGTTTAAATCTTTAATCCATCTTGAATTGATTTTTGTGTAAGGTGTAAGGAAGGGATCCAGTTTCAGCTTTCTACATATGGCTAGCCAGTTTTCCCAGCACCATTTATTAAATAGGGAATCCTTTCCCCATTGCTTGTTTTTCTCGGTTTGTCAAAGATCACATAGTTGTAGATATGCGGCGTTATTTCTGAGGGCTCTGTTCTGTTCCATTGATCTATATCTCTGTTTTGGTACCAGTACCATGCTGTTTTGGTTACTGTAGCCTTGTAGTATAGTTTGAAGTCAGGTAGTGTGATGCCTCCAGCTTTGTTCTTTTGGCTTAGGATTGACTTGGCGATGCAGGCTCTTTTGTGGTTCCATATGAACTTTAAAGTAGTTTTTTCCAATTCTGTGAGGAAAGTCATTGGTAGCTTGATGGGGATGGCATTGAATCTGTAAATTACCTTGGGCAGTATGGCCATTTTCACGATATTGATTCTTCCTACCCATGAGCATGGAATGTTCTTCCATTTGTTTGTATCCTCTTTTATTTCCTTGAGCAGTGGTTTGTAGTTCTCCTTGAAGAGGTCCTTCACATCCCTTGTAAGTTGGATTCCTAGGTATTTTATTCTCTTTGAAGCAATTGTGAGTGGGAGTTCACTCATGATTTGGCTCTCTGTTTGTCTGTTGTTGGTGTATAGGAATGCTTGTGATTTTTGTACATTGATTTTGTATCCTGAGACTTTGCTGAAGTTGCTTATCAGCTTAAGGAGAGTTTGGGCTGAGACAATGGGGTTTTCTAGATATACAATCATGTCGTCTGCAAACAGGGACAATTTGACTTCCTCTTTTCCTAATTGAATACCCTTTATTTCCTTCTCCTGCCTAATTGCCCTGGCCAGAACTTCCAACACTATGTTGAATAGGAGTGGTGAGAGAGGGCATCCCTGTCTTGTGCCAGTTTTCAAAGGGAATGCTTCCAGTTTTTGCCCATTCAGTATGATATTGGCTGTGGGTTTGTCATAGATAGCTCTTATTATTTTGAAATACGTCCCATCAATACCTAATTTATTGAGAGTTTTTAGCATGAAGGGTTGTTGAATTTTGTCAAAGGCTTTTTCTGCATCTATTGAGATAATCATGTGGTTTTTGTCTTTGGCTCTGTTTATATGCTGGATTACATTTATTGATTTGCATATATTGAACCAGCCTTGCATCCCAGGGATGAAGCCCACTTGATCATGGTGGATAAGCTTTTTGATGTGCTGCTGGATTCGTTTTGCCAGTATTTTATTGAGGATTTTTGCATCAATGTTCATCAAGGATATTGGTCTAAAATTCTCTTTTTTGGTTGTGTCTCTGCCCGGCTTTGGTATCAGAATGATGCTGGCCTCATAAAATGAGTTAGGGAGGATTCCCTCTTTTTCTATTGATTGGAATAGTTTCAGAAGGAATGGTACCAGTTCCTCCTTGTACCTCTGGTAGAATTCAGCTGTGAATCCATCTGGTCCTGGACTCTTTTTGGTTGGTAAACTATCGATTATTGCCACAATTTCAGCTCCTGTTATTGGTCTATTCAGAGATTCAACTTCTTCCTGGTTTAGTCTTGGGAGAGTGTATGTGTTGAGGAATTTATCCATTTCTTCTAGATTTTCTAGTTTATTTGCGTAGAGGTGTTTGTAGTATTCTCTGATGGTAGTTTGTATTTCTGTGGGATCGGTAGTGATATCCCCTTTATCATTTTTTATTGTGTCTATTTGATTCTTCTCTCTTTTTTTCTTTATTAGTCTTGCTAGTGGTCTATCAATTTTGTTGATCCTTTCAAAAAACCAGCTCCTGGATTCATTGATTTTTTGAAGGGTTTTTTGTGTCTCTATTTCCTTCAGTTCTGCTCTGATTTTAGTTATTTCTTGCCTTCTGCTAGCTTTTGAATGTGTTTGCTCTTGCTTTTCTAGTTCTTTTAATTGTGATGTTAGGGTGTCAATTTTGGATCTTTCCTGCTTTCTCTTGTGGGCATTTAGTACTATAAATTTCCCTCTACACACTGCTTTGAATGCGTCCCAGAGATTCTGGTATGTTGTGTCTTTGTTCTCGTTGGTTTCAAAGAACATCTTTATTTCTGCCTTCATTTCATTATGTACCCAGTAGTCATTCAGGAGCAGGTTGTTCAGTTTCCATGTAGTTGAGCGGCTTTGAGTGAGATTCTTAATCCTGAGTTCTAGTTTGATTGCACTGTGGTCTGAGAGATAGTTTGTTATAATTTCTGTTCGTTTACATTTGCTGAGGAGAGCTTTACTTCCAACTATGTGGTCAATTTTGGAATAGGTGTGGTGTGGTGCTCAAAAAAATGTATATTCTGTTGATTTGGGGTGGAGAGTTCTGTAGATGTCTATTAGGTCCCCTTGGTGCAGAGCTGAGTTCAATTCCTGGGTAACCTTGTTGACTTTCTGTCTCGTTGATCTGTCTAATGTTGACAGTGGGGTGTTAAAGTCTCCCATTATTAATGCGTGGGAGTCTAAGTCTCTTTGTAGGTCACTCACGACTTGCTTTATGAATCTGGGTGCTCCTGTATTGGGTGCATATATATTTAGGATAGTTAGCTCTTCTTGTTGAATTGATCCCTTTACCATTTGTCTCTTTTGATCTTTGTTGGTTTAAAGTCTGTTTTATCAGAGACTAGGATTGCAACCCCTGCCTTTTTTTGTTTTCCATTTGCTTGGTAGATCTTCCTCCATCCTTTTATTTTGAGCCTATGTGTGTCTCTGCACGTGAGATGGGTTTCCTGAATACAGCACACTGATGGGTCTTGACTCTTTATCCAACTTGCCAGTCTGTGTCTTTTAATTGCAGAATTTAGTCCATTTACATTTAAAGTTAATATTGTTATGTGTGAATTTGATCCTGTCATTATGATGTTAGCTGGTGATTTTGCTCGTTAGTTGATGCAGTTTCTTCCTAGTCTCGATGGTCTTTACATTTTGGCATGATTTTGCAGCGGCTGGTACCGGTTGTTCCTTTCCATGTTTAGCGCTTCCTTCAGGAGCTCTTTTAGGGCAGGCCTGGTGGTGACAAAATCGGTCAGCATTTGCTTGTCTGTAAAGTATTTTATTTCTCCTTCACTTATGAAGCTTAGTTTGGCTGGATATGAAATTCTGGGTTGAAAATTCTTTTCTTTAAGAATGTTGAATATTGGCCCCCACTCTCTTCTGGCTTGTAGGGTTTCTGCCGAGAGATCCACCGTTAGTCTGATGGGCTTCCCTTTGAGGGTAACCCGACCTTTCTCTCTGGCTGCCCTTAACATTTTTTCCTTCATTTCCACTTTGGTGAATCTGACAATTATGTGTCTTGGAGTTGCTCTTCTCGAGGAGTATCTTTGTGGCGTTCTCTGTATTTCCTGAATCTGAACGTTGGCCTGCCTTGCTAGATTGGGGAAGTTCTCCTGGATAATATCCTGCAGAGTGTTTTCCAACTTGGTTCCATTCTCCCCATCGCTTTCAGGTACACCAATCAGACGTAGATTTGGTCTTTTCACATAGTCCCATATTTCTTGGAGGCTTTGCTCACTACTTTTTATTCGTTTTTCTCTAAACTTCCCTTCTCGCTTCATTTCATTCATTTCATCTTCCATTGCTGATACCCTTTCTTCCAGTTGATCGCATCGGCTCCTGAGGCTTCTGCATTCTTCACGTATTTCTCGAGCCTTGGTTTTCAGCTCCATCAGCTCCTTTAAGCACTTCTCTGTATTGGTTATTCTAGTTATACATTCTTCTAAATTTTTTTCAAAGTTTTCAACTTCTTTGCCTTTGGTTTGAATGTCCTCCCATAGCTCAGAGTAATTTGATCGTCTGAAGCCTTCTTCTCTCAGCTCGTCAAAGTCATTCTCCATCCAGCTTTGTTCCGTTGCTGGTGAGGAACTGTGTTCCTTTGGAGGAGGAGAGGTGCTCTGCATTTTAGAGTTTCCAGTTTTTCTGTTCTGTTTTTTCCCCATCTTTGTGGTTTTATCTACTTTTGGTCTTTGATGATGGTGATGTACAGATGGGTTTTCGGTGTGGATGTCCTTTCTGTTAATTTTCCTTCTAACAGACAGGACCCTCAGCTGCAGGTCTGTTGGAATACCCTGCCGTGTGAGGTGTCAGTGTGCCCCTGCTGGGGGGTGCCTCCCAGTTAGGCTGCTCGGGGGTCAGGGGTCAGGGACCCACTTGAGGAGGCAGTCTGCCGGTTCTCAGATCTCCAGCTGCGTGCTGGGAGAACCACTGCTCTCTTCAAAGCTGTCAGACAGGGACACTTAAGTCTGCAGAGGTTACTGCTGTCTTTTTGTTTGTCTGTGCCCTGCCCCCAGAGGTGGAGCCTACAGAGGCAGGCAGGCCTCCTTGAGCTGTGGTGGGCTCCACCCAGTTCGAGCTTCCTGGCTGCTTTGTTTACCTAAGCACGCCTGGGCAATGGCGGGCGCCCCTCCCCCAGCCTCGCTGCCGCCTTGCAGTTTGATCTCAGACTTCTGTGCTAGCAGTCAGCGAGATTCCGTGGGCGTAGGACCCTCAGAGCCAGGTGTGGGATATAATCTCGTGGTTCGCCGCTTTTTAAGCCGGTCTGAAAAGCGCAATATTCGGGTGGGAGTGACCCGATTTTCCAGGTGCGTCCGTCACTCCTTTCTTTGACTCGGAAAGGGAACTCCCTGACCCCTCGCGCTTCCCAGGTGAGGCAATGCCTCGCCCTGCTTCGGCTCGCGCACGGTGCGCGCACCCACTGGCCTGCGCCCACTGTCTGGCACTCCCTAGTGAGAGAAACCCGGTACCTCAGATGGAAATGCAGAAATCACCGGTCTTCTGCATCGCTCACGCTGGGAGCTGTAGACCGGAGCTGTTCCTATTCGGCCATCTTGGCTCCTCCCCCTATACTCAAATGATTTTTAACAAAGGTGCCAAGAACACTTAATAAGGAGAGGACAATCTTTTCCACCAATGATGCTGGGAAAATTGGATGTCCACATATAAAAAAATAAATTTAGACCTTTATGTGATACTCTATGTAAAAATTAACACAAAATGAATCAAAGATGTAAATATAAGACCTAAAACTATAAAACTTTCAAAAGAAAACATAGGAGAAGAGCTTCGTGACATTAATTTGGCAATGATTTCTTGGATATTACGCCGAAAGAAGAAACAATAAAGGTAAAAACAGGTAAATTGGACTACATCAAAATTAAAACTTCTTTGCACAAAAGGACAAAATCAAAAGAGTGAAAAGGCAAACTTTTGGGAGAAAGTATTCATAAATCATATATCTGATACAGAGTTTAATATTCAGAATATATAAAGAACTCCTGCAACTCAACAACAAAAAAACAAATAAATTGGCAAAAACTTGAATAGTTATTTCTCCAAAGAATATATACAAATGTCTAATAAAAATATGTAAAGATACCCCAAATCACTAATCATTGGGAAAATGCAAATCAAAACCACAGTGAGATAGCAACTTATACTCATTTTAATGGCTGTTATTAAAAACAAAAAATAAAACAAATTTAAAAAGAAAGAAAATAACAGAGTGAAGAAGTTGAAAGCCTATGTACTCTTTGTGGGAACATAAAATGGTTCAGCTGCTACAGAAATAGTATGGTGGTTCCTCAAAAGTTAAAAATAGAATTACCATTTGATCCAGCAATTTCACTTCTGGATATATATCCAAAAGAATTGAAAGCATAGTCTCAAAGAGATATTTGTATATCAATGTTCATAGTAGCATTATGCACAATAGCTCAAAGGTGGAAGCAGCCCAAATCTCTAACAACAGATAACAAAATGTGTTGTATATACACCAGTGGAATACTGTTCAGTCTTAAGAGAAATTCTGACACATGCTACAACATAGATGAACCTTGAGGACTTTATGCTAAGTGAAATAAGCCAGTTACAAAAAGACAAATACTATATAATTCCACTTATATGTGATACCTAATGTAGTCAGATTATTCATAGAGACAGAAAATAGAATGGTGGTTGCCAAGGGCTGTGGGGAAGGAGTGGAGAGTTGTTTACTTAATACAGAGTTTCAGTTTTGCAAGATGAAAAAGTTCTGGAATTGAGTGCATGACAATGTGAATATACATAACACTACTGAACTGTACACTTAAATATGTTAAAATTATAAATTTTATGTTATGTGTATTTTATCATCATTTAAATTTTAAAATTTTTTTAAAGAAAAAAAAGCAATGTGGCCTCTTTTTCTCTCTGTTCCTAAAAGAGTGCTTTTCACAAAGGAAGGATGGATAAAATCTGGTTGGGAAGTTCTGGGAAATCTACGCAAAGAAAACACTTTAAATGCATTACGAAGAACTAGTAGACACCTTCAAAACAGAGAACAAGCAGTGTGTGTAAAGCATATGGGGGAGTAGTACACACCTAAGGACCTGGAAGAAAAGGTGTGTGCTGAGTAGAGACAAGGTTGGCTGATGAGGCTGGAGAGAGGCAAGGTTTGCCTACCCTATTAAGGAGCCTGGACTTTTACCTGGAAGGGTCTAGAGTCCTCTTACTCACAAAATGGATTAGAGTACCAAAACCATCATGTCTCAATGACTTGAGAACTGGCTATCTAGTGCATAAATTATCTAAGTCTTATCATTTTTTCTGTGCTGCTTTCTTTTTTTCATTTCACTGATTATGCACATCATAAATGTCATAGAAATAAAGAATGATAGAGATCATGTAGATCACGAGATCATGACTTGATGAAGGGGAGTGTTATGTAGAGTTAATTTGGGGTGTGAACCCTCTTTGTTAAGGGTCCCCTTTTGTGCCGTGTCCAGTTTGCAGAGACCCTGTACATTTAGGAAGCATTTCCTAACTGCTGGTTGAATAAAAGAGAGAGTGTTGCAGAGACTTTTTTTTTCTTTTTTTTTTTTTTTTTTTTGAGACAGAGTCTCGCTCTGTCACCCAGGCTGGAGTGCAGTGGTATGATCTCGGCTCCCTGCAAGCTCCGCCTCCCGGGTTCAAGCGATTCTCTTGCCTCAGCCCCCTGAGTAGCTGGGATTACAGGCATGCGCCACCACACCCAGCTAATTTTTGTATTTTTAATAGAGACGGGGTTTCACCATGTTGGCCACGCTGGTCTCAAACTCCTGACCTTAGGTGATCCGCCCACCTCAGCCTCCCAAAGTGCTGGGATTACAGGCGTGACCCACCGCGCCCAGCCGATGCAAAGACTTTTAAAGCCTGTTCCTGGCACTTAAGCTTTCTCTGGGGCAGAGTCATTACTCAAATATCATCCGTGCTAAAGGATTTTAAGATGAGATTGAGCTTCACAGGAACCTCCCAACCATGGCAAAGCATTTCTGCACTGGGAAACTTCTGTTGCCTCTGATGCTCAGTTCCCAACACACAGAGCTGGCAAGGTCATGCTCGGATCCACTTGAATTCAATCCTTCCTCTTTCATTCACTCAGTCAGAATCTCCTAAGGGTGGTGCCATTGCTCTGGGAACTCAGTCATGAATACAGCCAGATCCCTGCTGTGGTGGAAACCATGGTCTAAAGAGAGAGAAAATATATAATTTATAATAAAGTAAAATAAATTAACAAAGGATGCTCTTCTGCAGCCTCATCAGTGCTATGTGAGTTTTACCTCCTCCATGAAGCCTTTCTTGACCCCATAGCCTCTGTCTGTTTTTCTGTCCTGTGAGCCGCCAGAGCAGTTTATTCTTCATGCTATCAACATAACCCCCATCCAATTCTTCCCACTTGTGTGGTTGCTGGAGAATATTCTTCCATCCACACCTGGATTGTAATCTGCTTCACACCAGGGGCTTTTTCACAGTGGCTCAGTGCATCTCATTGGTTCACATTTCTGTGCATTTGCTTATGCTCTTTACCCAGTTTTCATCCTTTGCTGAACTCCTATTCATATTTGAAAGCTGATATGGATTGGCTCTATGTCCCCACCCAAATCTCATCTTGAATTGTAATCCCCATAATCCCCACATGTCGAGGGTGGGGCCTGGTGGGAGGTGATTGGATCATGGGGGCAGTTTCCCCCATGCTGTTCTCATGATAGCGAGCTCTAATGGTTTTATAAGTGTTTGACAGTTTCTCCTACACACGCATACTGTCTCTCGCCTGCTGCCATGTAAGATGTGCCTGCTTCACCTTCTGCCATGATTGTAAGTTTCCTGAGGCCTCTCCAGCCATGTGGAACTGTGGATCAATTAAACCTCTTTCCTTTATAAATTACCCAGTCTCAGATGTTTCTTTTATAGCAATGTGAGAACAGACTAATACAAAGGCCCAGCTCAAATGTTCCCTGCCATATGAAGCTTTCCTTGATTTTATGGGCAGTCACTCCTAGTTCTTTGTGCCCACAGCATTCTCTTATTATCTCTATCATAGCATTTACTGCACCGTTTTGAAATGTATTAATTTACTTGTCTGCATCTCTTACTAGGCAGGGCTAGAAGAGTGTGACCCTTTATTTGGGATACAGAATCAGGCGGTGCACCAGTTAAGGTAAAGCAAACTGCTCTAACAAAATTGGAAATGATCCAGCATATGATTTTCAACCAGATTTTCCTGATCAGCAGCAGGCGGGGGGGGCCTGTGCTCCATACAGTCATTCAGGGACGAATCTGATTAAAATTCTGCCATTTTCATGGCATCCAAGATCTCCTTCATCAAGTCAGCAGGTGAGTGAAAAAATAACTAAGAAGGCACACTTTTCCCTAACCACTTCAGGCCAGAAGGGGCAAACGAAGGTCTCTCTTCATATCTCACTGGAGAGAACTGAGCATGTGGCCCCTCCTGGAGAAGGAGAAGGATTAGAAACTAAGCCCTGGCCTAGAAGCCACTTTCCAGTGATGATTCTACACTGCAGAAAAGGAGCAGAGATCTTTGGAGGACAGCTGGCCATCTCTACCAAGGGTAACAAAAATGGACTCTTTAGACACAAACCTACCCTACTCAGGAGGTAAATAGTGAATTTCTACCTGAAGCTTTCTGGTAAGTTCAGCATTTAGACACTGAAAGAGAAGTTGATTTGTGAAAAATTCTCAGATTCCTGAAAGGCACTTGGCAGAAAAAGTCTACAAACAGTATGAGACAATAAAAGATAATGCCACTTAATTTGGTCCTGTAATTATAGTTACTTCTTCCCAAAGAGCTGAGAATAAACACTCTAATTACTCTACAGGTTATATGGAGATTAATAAACCTAACTCCTGCAGAACACATAGCTTATAAACACAAGACCAGGACTAGGCCTGGCCTGTTATTAGACTGGTCTCTCTGGGTGGAAGAAGGAAAGAGATTGTAAGGTGAGAACCTAATTTGTGCCATGAATTATAATAAGCATTTTATATAAGTTATTTAAACTAATTCTCACAACCCTGGAGCAGGGTATTATTGCCTTCATTTGCAGATAAAGCAACTGAGTTTCAGAGAGGTGGAAGTACGTCTCTAAAGTAGCAACTCTGAGATTTGAGCCGAGGGCACAAAGCCCATACTCTTTCCACTGTACCAAGTCCCTTCAAGGGAAACCTCAAAGGCCTATAGGAAGTCTTTCTTCTCAGAACTCTGCTCCATGGAGGATGGTTTGGTTGTAAATATGCAGCTGCCATGCTTATCTGCCCAAAGGTAGATATTGTCACCAAAGATGTTGTCCCTGAAGTAACCCAGTGGCTGTGAAGAGGAGGTTTTCTGAAGAGATCTAACCTTCAAATGCCTCCTTCTGCCCATCAGTCAGAGCCTTTGCCGTGACTTTGCAGATCGGCTCCATTGAGCTCTCATAGAAACGAGTGTTTGGAATTGGACTCTGTCATGCATTTATATTGGCCTCATCAACGGGATGACTCCAAGTGATCAGGCCTAACCATCTGCACACCCTGAGTGGGAGATTCTGGGAAGGAAAGAATTACCTTCAGCCAAGCAGCAGAAAGAAGAGGCTGCCATGGAGTGGGAAGAGAGAGGACATGTCTTCATGTAAGGATATCTGCAGTGTGAGCTCCAGAGAGAAGAAACATCCTCTGTAGAAACCTGACCTCCTCTAAGACAGGAGGCTCCCACCTCCTGTGAGGAGTCATCCATGTCTACCCTTTGTCTTCCATGCTCTGCTTCCCTTAGCCACACTGTGTTCTCTTCCTTCCCTGATCTCCTGTCTCTTTCTGGGCATTTAGCAGAAGGGCTGAAGCTGGTGTGGAAACAAGAATAGGGGCAGCCTAGCATGGGGATCATCAGAATGCACTTTGGCAATAAATAGACCTGCTTTCCAATTCTGGTTCAGCCACCCGAGACCTTGGGCATTTTATTCCACTTCTCTTGAGCTTGAGTTTCTTTGTGTGTAAAATGGGGATCGTAGCAATGCTACCTCATAGGATTGTCATAAAGACAAACATGTAAAATGCTGAGCTTGATACCTGACATACTTGGTAATTACCCAATTTCTGGTAGAATCTTTTACAGCCTGCAAATAAAAAATGAGAGATTCAGAATTTCTAAATCCTACCTGGCACTTTCCAGCTACATCATGTTGGGCAAGTCATTTAGATTATCTCAGTCTCAGCTTTTCTATCTGTAATAAAGAAGGAGGAGGAGGAGGAGGCCACCTGCCCTTGGATCTTGCAGAATTGAGGAGGGTTTCAAATGAAGTAACATTCAAGAAAGCCATGGGGGCAGGGAGTGGGGGTGGCACCCAAGGAGTGCACCATCTAGTTACAGAAGCAAGACCAAGAAAGATATCTGACAATCTTTAAGGTGATCTTACTTTAGAGACCGTAAGAGCAAAAGAGGCTAAGAGAAGAGTGATCTATAAGGGCTCTAAGAGGAGTTGGGATGGGCCATGTCTTTGTACATGGATGGAGGTTGGCAGAGAGGAGAGGAGCATTCCATTAATGGTGAAATGGGCACAGCTTGTGTGTTTGGGGAG
This sequence comes from Homo sapiens, assembly GCF_000001405.40. Taxonomy (NCBI): domain Eukaryota; kingdom Metazoa; phylum Chordata; class Mammalia; order Primates; family Hominidae; genus Homo; species Homo sapiens. The sequence goes on from NC_000001.11 coordinate 58,281,055, forward strand.
AAAGACAGGTTGGGGAAGATGAGCAAGAAGGAAACTCCTTTGCCTAAATCATTATCAAGCACGAAGGACAGTAATGATACAAGTAGGATGGGACATCATGACGGAAGGGAATTGGAGAGAGAGCAAAGGATAGACATTTTATTTCTGACTTTTGATGTGGCCATTGTTATCTTTGCCTACTCAGCATCTATTACCTTGATTTTCCTGTGGGGAGCCCCCACCCCCACCAAACTCCAGGAATTTGAATTGAGGGCTGACAATTCACACAAGTGACGAAGCCTGAAACCTGGGATTCTTCCTTGACTACCTTCAGCCTTCCCATCCAGACAGCCCTCAGTTTTGTAGATTCTACCTCCTTAATACCTCCGATCCACCTATATCTCTCCATCTCCACTAGCACCCCCCAATCCAACTCATCTTCACCTCTCATCTGAATACATATGTCAGCCTCTTACCTAGTATCCTTGCCTCCACTCCCCCTCCCTCCAATCCACTCTACCTCCTGCAGCAAGAGTGTTTTTTTTTCTATAGTGCAGATGTTCCTCTCCTACTTAATATCTTTTGATGGCTTCACATTATCCAGAGAATAAAATCCAAACTCTTTATGAATGGCAAGTCCTCATTTACCTAGACCCTAGACCCAAGCTACTTATACACTTCCTTTATGATCTTAGGCAAGGTATTTCACTTCTCTGTTTCTCAGTTTCTTCATTTGTGTAATAAAATGAATCTTATAATAGTACATACTTTACAAGACTGTTGTGAGGAATAAATGAATGCATGTATGTAAAGCACTTAGAACAATGACTGGGACATTGTAGATGCTTTTAAGTTGTTTCTATCACCACTATCACCACCACTACCACTACCACCGCCATCATCACCACCCCGTCATCATCATTGTTATCATCATTACCATCATCACATCTTCCTCCTCCTCATCATCCTCATCTTTGTATCTCATGCTTTTTCCCTCTTACTCTCTGCTACAGCTATACAGAGACTTAATTCCTCCTAATGTCCCAACCATATCTCCCCTCAGAATCTTCATATGTGCTGAACTCTTTTCCAGGGAATAGATCCTAGGATTCCCACATCATGCCTCTTCACTTTTATCTTAAGTGTTTCTTCCCCAGAGAAGCCTTCCCTGAGTATCTCAGATGGGGATATGATGCTGCTACACTGCCTCACAGTATCTCATCCCACTTTTTAACTGGTACTTCCTTATTCAGTATGTCTCTCACTCACTTGACTGGAAACTGCTTAAGGGCAAGGACCAAGTATGTCTCAGTCACCACTAGCCACCTGTCCCACTCACTACCCTATCCACTCTATCATATAATGTGTTACCATGTTTCACATCATTTCCTTTCCCTATGCCCTCTCATTTTCATAGTGGGAAACATTCTTCCTAGTGGAAATAAGTTTTCTGCTTATTTATAGCACTCTTTTATTTGAAATTATTTTAAAAACTAACCAGAAGATTGCATTTTAATCCAACTAGCTAAATCATTTGAAATATTTATAAGGGCCATTTTCAGCCTTTGTTCTAAAAAAAAAAAGGAGTGTGGGGTGGGGAGCAGGCAATAGAAGGCACATATGATATGGAATGAGCAGAGCTGAGGCTCTGAAGGACCATCAAAAGTTGCCACTCTGCCCACTGGAAAGATATTTCCCAAAATAAAAGACATGCCATTCACTGACACTTGCATGGTGTTGAAACCATGCTTGTTCTGCCTTGTGCCAAAAGAGTTTGGGAGAAGAGGGAGCGACTGCTCCCAGCTCTGTCGGCAGCCGCTTCTGAAGCTACCATAGCAACAAGTATAGACTAAAAGCGATCCTTCCATATTAGGTGTGAACTGACTCCAGACAAGGAAAATAGCTTGCAGAGAAGAAGCCAACTTTGCTGGGAAACCCACAGGGAGTAATACGCCAGTGACCCATCCCCCCACCCCAATTGCCTTTCACTTCCCCAACCACCATGTAAGTAATAGTAGACAGAATTTTTTTTAAAAGAACTTTCCTTCAAACATTCAGACATACAGCCTTGCTTGGTAAAATTGCACTGGAGTCCTTCCCCACCCCCCAAGCCCCAGCGCTCTCCTCTCTTGTTCTCATTCTCAGCTGCCTCAGTAGCCCATCCATCTGTCAGTGCGCATATGGGTAAAAGAGGCAAGCCAGGAAGCAGAGAGAAGAAGAATTTGTATTTCATAAGTATCTTCTCAGCAGAGGAGTAGAAAATACCTTCTGCCAAAACAGAATGGGGTGGCAGGCCTGGAGTAGTATCTGCTCAGCTAGAAATGACCCTTAAAATGTAGATGCTACTCTGTCATTTGGGTTTCTGGGGCAGGACCTGTCTCTGTCCCCATAGCTTTCTACCCTGACCACCCTACCCCTTTCATCCAATCATCCATTCCCACCCAGAGACAAGACTTTCGGTGGCACATTGAGGCCCAGTTCCTGCCTTTGTCCTTGTCCAGGCTCTACTCTTTAGCCCTGAATCAGTTCAGATCAGAACTCTGACACATAAGTGACTGTGCAAACTTGCGCGAGTCACTTTGTCTCTGAGCATCAGTTTCCTCGGCTGTAAAACATGACTAATAACATTGCCAAACTTGTAGGTAAATTGTGAGGATTAAATGAGATAATTCCTGTAAAACTCTTAGAACAGTGTCTGGCTCATAACAAATGATCAGTAAGTGTTATTTTTTCCTCCCACAAGCTTCATCTTCCAGCTCATTTTGGAGCTGCCCACATTGTCTAGTCTTGACAGACTTTGTCCTCGAAGGCAAAGACCATGTTGTTTTATTTGTCTTTGTCATATTGATTTGTCTACAGTCCTAGTTACCTAATACACAGTGCCTGGCTCAGTGTACGTGTTTAATACATGTTTGCTGTGAAAGGCACAAATTGATGGATGGGAGGATGAATGGGTGGGTAGATGCATAAATAATAGAAGGGAAAACCCACCTTTTCTTGCCACATAGAATCAGGGAGAATCTGGGTCTCTGGCAAGCCATCCAACAGAGATGAGTTTTCCAGGTGGGTTGACAGACTTGCCTAGTCTTGAGGTCTTTTCTGACCAGAGGCTGTTACATGGAGTTGGCTGGATGTTTCCTTCTCCATCCATATGGGAACTTGGGAATTTGGCTAAAATTCTGGTATTTTGTTTTGTTTCTCTTTCTTAGCTTGACACTGGGGCTTCTTTCCTTTCTCTCCTTGAGTGCCAGCACAGATGCCAGCTGGCCCATGGGCTCTGTTAACCCTTTCCAGCCTGCCCTTGAATGGCTCTGCCAATACTCTGTATCACTTGGCTTTGACATGAACCCACATGGCTTCTTGCCTCATGATGTTTACACTGCTACCCTGCCTCTCTCTCTCAGTTCCCCCAACCTGGCTTCTCCAGTCACACAGAGCCACATGAGAAGAGAGCTGGTATTAAGCACAGATCTGGAAGGAAGGCAATGCATAAAGCTGTCAGCCTTACCTTGTGCCCATGGCACAGTTACCTGGCCCAGGCCTCTGACCACAGGGCTTATGTTCATTTTGCTACAGTAAAAGTCTTCTCAAAGTCGTTTCAGTGAGATGGAGCGTTATTCCTATCCCTCTTTCTGTCTCATCTCCACAGCCTATCTTAGATTCTTTGCCTCTTTATTATCTCTAATTTTACAAAGGGATAAACTGAGGCTCAGAAATAATATGAGATCTATATAATCATGAAGTCTCATCACTGGAAAGGAAACAGCCCTCCAGTTGATGGAATCCTGGCGATGCACACATGAATAAAAGCAGCAGAGCTTGTTCTAGAGGGTACACCTTCTGACTGCTTGAGGTCTAGCCTAACTCCAGAGCATCTTCTGCTTACACTGCAGTGGCATTTACTACATATGTTGAAATCATCTGTTCATATATCTGCTTCCCATTCTCTGACTGAGACTTTCTTTATGACGGTGTTCCAGATATTTTTGCTGCATAACAAACCATGTGAAACATACAGGTTTACATGATTATCTCAATAGATGCAGAAAAAGCCTTCGATAAAATTCAACATCCTTCATGTTAAAAAATCTCAATAAGCTAGATATTGAAGGAACATATCTCAAAATAGTAAGAGCCATTTATGACAAACCCACAGCCAATGTCATACTGAATGGGCAAAAGCTGGAAGCATTCCCCTTGAAAACCAGCACAAGACAGGATGCCTTCTCTCACTACTCCTAATCAACATAGTATTGGAAGTTCTGGCCAGAGCAATTGGGCAAGAGAAAGAAATAAAGGGTATTCAAATCGGAAGTCAAACTGTCTCTGCAGATAACATGATCTTATATCTAGAAATATCCCTGTATTTAACATGATCTTATATCTAGGAAAAAACCCATTGTCTCAGCCCTAAAGCTTCTTAAGCTGATAGGCAACTTCAGGATACAAAATCAATGTGTAAAAATCACAAGCATTTCTGTATATCAACAACAGGCAAGCAGAGAGCCAAATCATGAATGAACTCCCATTCACAATTGCCACAAAAAGAATAAAATACCTAGGAATACACCTAACAAGGGAAGTGGAGAACATCTTCAAGGAGAACTACAAACCACTGCTCAAGGAAATCAGACAGGACACAAACAAATGGAAAAATATTCCATGCTCATGGATAGGAAGAATCAATATGAAAATGGCCATACTGCCCAAAGTAATTTGTAGATTCAATGCTATTCCTATTACACTATCATTGACATTCTTCACAGAATTAGAAAAACCTATTTTAAAATTAATATGGAACCAAAGAAGAGCCCACATAGCCAAGACAATTGTAAGTAAAAAGAGCAAAGCTGGAGGCACCACACTACCTGACTTCAAACTACACTACAAGGCCACAGTAACCAAAACAGCATGGTACTGGTATAAAAACAGACATGTAGACCAATGGAACAGAACAGAGAACTCAAAAATAGGACCAAACATCTACAACCATATGATCTTCGACAAACCTGACAAAAACAAGCATTGGGGAAAGGATTCCCTATATAATAAATGGTGCTGGGAAAACTGGCTAGCTATGTGCAGAAAATTGAAACTGAACTCCTGCCTTACACCTTACACAAAAATTAACTTGAGATGGATTAAATACTTCAATGTAAAGCCCAAAACTATAAAAACCCAGAAGAAAATTTAGGCAATACCATTCAGGACATAGACATGGGCAAAGATTTCATGATGAAAACACCAAAAGCAATTGCAACAAAAGCAAAAATTGACAAATGGGATCTAATTAAACTAAAGAGCTTCTGCACAGCAAAAGAAACTATCATCAGAGTGAACAGACAACCTACCAAATGGAAGGAAATGTTTGCAGTCTATCCATCTGACAAAGGTCTAATATCCAGAATCTATTATCCAATGAACGTAAATAAATTTACAAGAAAAAAACAACCACATTGAAAAGTGGACAAAGGACATGAACAGACACTTCTCAAAAGAAGACATTTATGCAGCCAACAAACATATTTTAAAAAAGATCAACATCACTGACTATTAGAGAAATGCAAATCCAAACTACAATGAGATACTATCTCACACCAGCCAAAATGGCAATTATTAAAAAGTCAAGAAATGACTGATGCTGGCATGGCTGTGAAGAAATAGGAATACTTCTACACTGTTGGTGGGAATGTAAATTAGTTCAACCATTGTGAAAGACAGTGTGGTGATTCCTCGAAGACATGGAACCAGAAATACCATTTGACCCAGCAATTGCATTACTGGGTACATACCCAAAGGAATATAAATCATTTTATTATAAAGATAGATGCACATGTATGTTCACTGCAGCACTAATCACAATAGCAAAGACATGGAATCAACACAAATGCCCATCAATGATAGAATGGATAAAGAAAATGTGGTACATATACACCGTGGAATACTATGCATCCATAAAAAGGAATGAGATCATGTCCTTTGCAGGGACATAGATGGAGCTGGAAGCCATTATCTTTAGCAAACTAATGCAGGAACAGAAAACAAAACACCACATGTTCTCACTTGTAAGTGGGAGCCAAACAATGTAAATACATAGACACAGGGAGGGAACACACACTGGGGCCTGTTAGGGCTGGAGGGAGGGAGAGCATCAGGAAAAATAGCTAATGCATGTTGGGCTTAATACCTAGGTGATGAGTTGATAGGTGCAGCAAATAACCATGGTACACATTTACCTATGTTACATAGGTAACATACATAGGCAATCCTGCACATGGACCCTGGAACTTAAAATTTAAAAAAAGATACAGGTTTAAAACAACTTTTCGATTATATCTCACAGTTCTATGCATTAACTGGGCTCAGCTGGGTGGTTCTTTAGTTGGGTGTCTCATGTGGTTATAGTCAGTGGCTGGAGCCAGAGTCACCTGAAGACTACCTTGGGCTGGATGCATGAGATGGCTTGCTCTCATGGTTCGCAGTTGATACTGGCTGCTGCTCAGGAAGGGTCATCAACTAGGCATATTCATGGGATAGGGGGGCTTTGCTCAGCAACTGGGTTTTAAGAGCAACTGCCTCAAGGGGCCTAATCAGGAGATGCAAGGCTTTGAATGACCTATCCTCAAAAGTCCCACTGTTTCACTTGTCATATTCTATTGGTCAAGCAAGTCACTAAAGTCAGCTGAGATTCAAAAGGAGTAGCAAAGTCCAGGCGTGGTGGCTCATGCCTGTAATCCCAACACTTCGGGAGGCTGAGGCAGGCAGATCATTTGAGGTCAGGAGTTCAAGACCAGCCTGACCAACATTGTGAAACCTTGTCTCTATTAAAAATACAAAAATTCACTGGGTGTGGTAATGCCCACCTGTAGTCCCAGCTGCTCAGGAGACTGAAGTGGGAGAATCCCTTGAATCTGGGAGGCAGAGGCTACAGTGAGCTGAGATCACACCACTGCACTCCAGCCTGGGTGACAGAGCAAGACTGCCTCAAAAAAAAAAAAAAAAAAAAAAAAAAGAAAAAAAAGAGCAGCAAAGAGTTTGCTTCCATGTTTAACATGCAACTTAAATATAGAGTCTTTTAATCATCTCTGAGGTCTCAACACCTCAAATAGTATACACAAAGAACAAATATTTGTTCATTTACATTTAAACTGACAAATTATATGGGATGGAGATTATGTCTGGAACAACTTTAATGGCCTCCACTTACTCTCTTGAAATCTCTTGGTATCTTTTACTCCAAATGACGTAAATGTGTTTTCCAAAAATACCTCTTCCTGCTTATCTGAAGTTTCTGTCTGGATCTCTTTATAAATCAGGAATACATCAGCACAATGGTATAATGAAATGGAAAATTTTCCAGTATGGCTGGAAAAGGTGCCCGGTAGCAATCTCAGCCTTCTGAAATTCTATCCCTTAGTCTCTATTAAAGTCTACAATTTAATAACAATGGCTTCCCTGAAGTGGGAAGAATCAGCTCTCAAAATACTCTTGTGCAGATAAAGATCTACTTCTTGAGCATTCTCCCAGCCATATGTACACAGTCATGTAATGTCAGCATGAAAGCAGATACCTCTACTGTTACTGTGAAAAGTTCGTCTTTTAGTATAGTGCCTGGTACATAATAAGTGAAAATAAATACTGCTATTATTTTAAGTTCATAAGCCCCTCCTTTGACCCTCTTCTCCTTATATTTTTGCTTCCCATTTAAAAGACCCATTGCAGTTACATTCTAGTGAAACAAATTAACTTGGAAACTTGAGACAAAGTAATCTTTGAGGCTTCTTTATTTGGCTTGCTTAGACTTTTATTGCTAAAGGGGAAATCTTTATGTGTGCTGGTCATATTTCTCTGCTCCTTCAATAATACACAGGCTTATGTAGCCTTAGTTCAGCACCAAATAACTTCATGCAAGAATACCCTGAACTGGCTCTGTCAGTCCCAGTCTGACACCACCCAGTAACTAATTTTAGTTTCCCTATCCACCCCCACTTAGACATAATAATGCTATGGTCTCTCTAGAGCTTTCTTTGTGTAGGCTGTCTCTAGGCTTTCTTCTCCTATCACGCATTTGCATTGAACAAACATTTCTGTAGCTTTTGCCATCCACTTTTTTACCCCTTTTTCTTTCCAACTACCAGTTTCTACCTTTCCAAGGTATTACCTTTTTTCTGTGCCTTGATTTGTAGAGAATTTTACACTTTTCACTGTACCTTTGCATCAATCTAGTGTATCCTCTTAGCATCTCTAATAAAGATAATATGATGGCTGTAACTATTCCCATTTTAAAGATGATTGACAAAAGGCTAAGAGAGGTGAAGTGACTTCCTCAAGATCATTTACATAGAACATTATCAGACCAGGAATGGAACCTCAATGTTTTGGTTTAGATTCCAGTCATTTTCCCCTCATTAAACTAAGTGATTTTTAGTGATGTCACTGAGAGTTCAATAACACATGATTTTAAAGTTTGAGGGAAACCATTAAAGTTTAGACTTTCATGGACTTGATATTAAAAGTGAATACTTAGCCCCACTGAACTATAAAAATGGACTTAAACTTCTAGATCAATTTGAAAGGCAATTAATTTTCCTAAAATAAGAGAAGCTCTTCTTCCCAGTGAATATTAAATAGGAGTCTTGTGATGATTTAGAATTTGCTACGGATTCTTACATGCTGGAATCATGATGACTTTGTAGTTAATTCATGGAGGCAGATACCCTCTCCCCTCTGGATCTTATTCATGGCTTGTGTGAATTATCTGATTTGGAGAGAATCTATGCTAAAAGCAATGACAAATCACATTGATATAAATCCATCCTACCCAAAAGATGGCCCACAGCAAACCAAAGAATACCTACAAGTATTTGGCATTAGCAAATAAAGATATTCTCACTTGTATCCAGCACAAAAGCTTTCCAACAAGCTGGAGACAGTACATTATGGAAAGAGAGCCCTGGACTTGGAATAAGAAAGAAACTCATATGTTTTAAGCTCCTATCATGTTCAGTTAAAAACCACAAATATTGAGCACTGACTTGGCGACATGTATTGTGCTAGAGATAATGGCATAGGACCCCTTCTTTCAAAGAGCCTGCAGTTCAATAAGTCAGAGACACCAAGATATTCATGATCATGTACTGGGTGTCTTGACAGAGAGGAATGTAAAGTTAATGGCATAGAGTGGCATAAGAGCACCTGGAAGGACACCAAATCCACATTGAGGGGATCAGGGAAGAGCAAACTAGGCTTTCTAAAGATGTCAGTTGATCTGAATTGTGAGCAAGGTGTGGGTATTGGAATGTCAGAGAAGGATTTGTAAGGGCATCATAGACAGAATGAACAGTATGAGCAAGTCATAAAGCAGCATGATATGGGAAGAGGGGACTGTAAATTTTTTCATATTATTAAAGCACAACATGTCAGGCAGGAAGCAGCAGAAGGTAAAGGTAGAGAAGTAGACATGAGGCATGCAGTGCACTAAGGACTTTACACACATTATCTAATCTATATGTCACAGTAGTTGTAAAAAAAAATTGGTATTTCTCCATTTCACAGATGATTAAAACGAAGGCCAAGGAGAGCAAATAATTTTCTTAGCTCGTCTCTGAAGCTCTGAATATGTCTCCAGAAAAGCTGTATTCTGGTCTCACAAGAAATGTACATCATCCTTAGGGAGATCATTATTCATTTCTGGGTCTCTAATCCATTTTTGTTGAAATAAAGGGGACTGGACAGGATGCTTTCTCAAGCCACTGCCTGCTGCTGCAAGTTAGGATCCTCCAGGCTCTCCTGGCTGCCACTGCAGAGTTAGAACCACGTGCTTGTTTTCAGTACCATGGAGAGGTGCCGCATTGCTGAGAGCTGCAGACCCGAGGGTCAGCCAATGTAGAGAAAACCAGGAGATCCACAAATCTTCCTTTAAACAAGACACCAACAAAGACAGAAGGGCATAAAGGAGAGGGAATATCATGAGAGGAGAGAGAAAGAGAAATTGTCCATCACCACTGCTCTCTTGAACAGAAGCTGAGTGATATGCTGAGTGAGACAAAGTGAACTAAATAAAAGGAATAAATTGAAGTAGCAACATGTCCTCGACATCGTAATACAGATGCTGTAATCATACAAGGCTAATAGTCTGAGTCACTCCACAGCCATCAAAAACAAAGAATTGATGGGACAAGCCTTGCGGCTGCTCATAAAAACCAATAAATTAAACTTGCTGACCATGGCCTGGAGACAGGGGGAGGCAATAAAATTATGTAACTGGTGGTTTATTTCCTGAATAACACAGCCTTCTCTTCTCTTTCTCTTTCTCACCTTCAAGACAGGTGCTCCATGGCCTCATGTTTCTTCCTTCCACAATCAAAACTTCCTCTCCAGGAAGGCTCCACTACTTGATTTATACTAAAGTGTAAGTGGCTGCTAAAACATAAAGAGTTGTCTCTCACAGGAAAGTCAGAAGTTTAGGGGTTGATTCACTATAAATTAAGCTCAATGAGAACAGAGAAATTTTCTCTCTTGTTCACAGGACCTACAATGGTGTCTAACACAAAATATGTGATCAATAACAACAGCAGCAATAATATTTACTAACACTTACTGAATGTTTACTATGTGGCAAGTGCTTCTTTGTGTCCTTTTAATGCTCATAGGAGCAGAATGAGGTAAACGGTATTATTGTCCCAGTTTTCATTGTGGGAACCTGGCGGGGGGAGACATAGAGACGTTAACTTCCTAAGGTCACATAGCTAGAAAATGCAAGACTCGAAGCCACAAAAATCTAAATCCAAAACCCATGTTCTTAACTGTGATGGTTAATTGTATGTATCAACCTGACTGTACCACAGAGTACCCAGCTTAAAAATTATTTCTGTGTGTGTCTCTGAAGATGTTTCTGGATGAGATTATCATCTGGATTGATGGACCCAGTAAAACAGATTGCCCTCTCCAATACAGGTGAGCATCATTCAATCCATTGAGGCCTTGAACAGAACAAAAGGCAGAGGAAGGAGGAATTTGTCCCCTTTTTTTCTGACTCAGTGCTTGATTGGGGAAATTTTGCCTCATTTTTTACCACCTTCAGACTGGGGTTTATACCATCTGCTCCTCTGATCCTTAGGCCTTCAGACTCAGGCTGAATTATATCCCCAGCTATCCTGGGTCTCCAGCTTGCAGATGGCAGATCATGGGATTTCTCAGCTTCCGTAATTGTGTGCTCTGGAGAAACCTCATCATTGACCATTGTACCACACTGATGAGAGGAAAAGATGGAGAGATGCACAGAGAAAATCAGAAAGAGACAGTTATGCACACACCATATCAAGAAAAAAAGTATCATCAAAACTGTTAAAATATTATTAGAGCCTATGCTGTCATACTATGAGGATTAAGGATGAAAAATAATAATAATTCTTCAATTCCATTCAATACATAGGCACTAGGCTGATCACTGATAATACAGAAATAAAAAGAGAACCTGTCTTCAATGTGTTCATATCTAGTGAGGAGCAGGGACAAGTAAAAGACCAGATGGTGTGGTGTGTGTTTAGATAGAAGTGAGTGTGTTAGTGCTGGTGCTATGGAAATTCAGAGAGCAGGTGCATTTTCAGGGTTAAGGGTTGGAGTGTTGCAAATAATATGTGCTCTCTGCATAGACCCCAGAAACCCCATGGCTGAGAAGTTGATTGGGTACTCAGACCAAAAGGTGGAGAAAGTCCCCAGAGATACATGCAAAGATTGGTGGACCATGTTGAAATATTGGAGATCCTGTAGTCTAATATAACACATTCTGTAATCTTTAGACTTAACAAGTATTCTGAGCATTTAATAGGAGTCAGTCTCTGTGCTTGGCACTTGGAATGTAAAAATGAGCAAGTTGATGTTTTCCTGCCTTCACCGAGATCACATTCTAAAATTCTATGCTTGCGAATGGTGAAGTGGAGACCCACATGAGACCCAACTGAGGTGAAATTGAGGTAGAGTTTCCTCCCAAAGATTGCACAGTGAGGCAATGATAAAGCACAAACTCAGAGCCAAGGCTTGAGTCTGTTGCCACCTTACAAGAAATGCTCATTGAATAAATGAGCGAGTAGTGAACAAGGATGTATTGTGAAAGTTCTTTGGTAGGCAAAAGAAAAAAGTCACCTAGTTAGGTAGTTAGATGGAAGTCATGACTTGAGTCTAGCTCAACTATGCAGATATCTTCATGACATCCGCCAGCAGCCAGAGTAGCCTAGAAGGCCTAAGTCCGAAACCTTCTTCATCTTTGACATCAGCTCTCTCTCACTGCAGCTTCTCAGTAGTCCCCTGTATTCCCATGTATTGTGCATTTTGTTTCCATTTGTTTATTGTTTCTGCAAATGCTCAGCAGAGCCAAAAAATATCAAAATAAAAAATATACCTTCCTAGAGCAGCCTCAGAAAGCCCCAGGGGAGATGGCAGCAGTCATAAGAAGAGAAAATAACCCAGTAGAGTATAAATAAAGCCCGCACAGCAATGGAAAGGCTGAATTGCATCATCTTTTTCCTACTTACCACTGGAAACCACAGGAGAATCTGGCATGGGCAGGGTAACCTTTAGATGACCCAGCTACCAGCTGTACAGGCCAGCTCTCCAGCATGGAAGAGAGCACCCAGAGCCTGTGTCTGGTGCCCAAGAGGGTTGTTTGGAAACAACAAATTCAGCAAATTGGCCAACAGGCAGAAGCCATAAGCCCCTTCCTTTTGTTGAACTGTCTCATTTTCTTCCAAAGTGGTCAGTCTTAGAAAGACCCAAGACAAAACATCTCAGAAATGTCCCAATGTGAAGTAATAAATGGATATTTTGGTGAAATCTGCTTAGCACTCTTTAGAGCAGGACTGGCTCCTCAGTGAGATACTCTGAGAGTCCTCCTGAGCTCACAGTTATTTGGACTCTGACAGCACATTTTGATGACAGCAGAACCCATCATGTTGGTCTCTGGCCCTTTGTAACTGGTGGTTTATTTCCTGTTTCATTCAGCTTTCTCTTCTATTTCTCACTCATGGCTGGGTCCTTTAGTGTTTTCTATCTTGCCAGACACTACAATCTAGTTAAACCTAGTAGACTCAAGCAACCGACAGCTTCCTAATCTACCCAATTCCACCAATAGATAAATAATATCACTTTTCATCAGACAGGACTTTAATTTCATCAGACAGGACCTGATCATTTTTGACTATGAAAAAAATCTCCCAAATGCCTGAGGGAATTTGAATTTTTGGAAAAAATTACTTATTTATATAAATCCTATAGAAATTAATTCTTAAAATCTCCATTCATAGCATCTTCAGTAGCAAGTCGCTGAAGGGAAATTTTAATTCAACTCCTACATGCTTCTATTCCATTCAACTCAATTTAATTTGAGCTAAGAAATATTCATAGACAATTAATAAAAAAAAAGATTTTTAAAGGGAATAAAGAAACATTTGTTGAGCACCTACTATTTGCCAGATACTATGCACAGTCTTAAGGATATACAAATAAAGGAGACACGGCTCTGTCTTTGAGGAGCTTACCATCTAGTCTTTGCTAGATGTCACAGAAACATGTCATGGAAAACATAAATCCAATTTCATGGTAAATATATCATAATCATGATATAGGCTGCAATGGGAGCTTAGAAAAAAGAGGTTAATTACAGCCAGCACAGAGTGGGGAAGCCTTCTCTAAAGTGCATTATGAGCTGTGATGAATGGGACTTGGTAGCTGCACATAGGCAGAAGCACATCTAGGTAGAGGATGCAAAAATGCCAAAGCTAGCATGCGGGATTTACACTCTTCTAAGCAGCAAAATGGCATGCTTGGTCCAGAACGTGTGTGTGTGTGTGTGTGTGTGTGTGTGTGTGTGTGTTTGCAAGTGTGTTTGAGTGCATATGTGTGGTGAGTGGTGATGAGAAAGATTTAAGGCTGATAAGAGAGGATTCATGTTCACTTTTGGCTTTCTTAGTCATTAGCAAAGCACTTTATGGGGAACGCTGTATGCTCAGAGATTGTGGTCTTTGGAAAGCCTTTCCTGACCACATGTTGGTGGCTTAGGTGCCTCCTCTGAAGAGCTACAGTCTCCAAGATTTGGTATTGTGATTTTCTGTTGCTCCTGGTCTCCTCCTCCAAAATGTGAGCCACTTGAGGGCAATGACTATTTTATTCACAGAACTCCCATGCCAGCAAGGTTCCTGGCACATAGTAGGTACTTGGAAGAAATTTGCTGAATTAATGAGTTATATTTGCCTTTTGTGCCTTTGTCATAATTTCTCACACAAGTGAGAATTCTGAAGCCTGAGAGAGAAAATAATTGATTTCAGTCACGAGGCCAGCCATAGCAAAATTTATTTCTAGATGTCCTCGTTCCATGGGAGTGGAGGTGGCAGGGGAAAGCATTTTGTAACCCTCTCTGTCAATTCTAGATCTAGAGAGCCCACAATAGCTTTTGGAGTCACTGATCAAAATGTCCTCAACAGGGAGGCCTCTCCTGACCACCTCCTCTCCCCTCATTCTCTAGCTCAAGCCATATTTTTTCTATGTGACTTATATTACACACTTCATTTTTTTGTTTATCGCCTTTCTTCTTTGAAAGAAGAGTAGATGAGAGATTTTTTTGTTTGTTTTATTTATTGTTTTATGCCCAGTACAGAGGACATGCCTGGCCTCTGGTGGAGGCTCTATAGATGTGTGTTGAATGACTTAGAGATTAAACACTGGAACGCAAGGGGCAGAGGTGCTACAAATGGGAACATGGATATCAAAGGGGAGACAGTTGGCTGGGCGCAGTGGCTCATGCCTGTAATTCCAGCACTTTGGGAGGTCAAGGTGGGTGGATTACTTGAGGTCAGGGGGTCGAGACCAGCCTGGCCAACATGGTGAAATCCTGTCTTTATTAAAAATACAAAAAAATTATCCAGGCATGGTGGCACACCCGTATAGTCCCAGCTACTCAGGAAGCTGAAGCAGGAGAATCACTTGAACCCCAGAGGTGGAGGTTGGAGTGAGCCGAGATCATGCCACTGCAACTCCAGCCTGGGCAACAGAGCGAGACTCTGTCTCAAAAAAAAAAAAAAAGCAAGAAAGCGAGAAAGAAAAAAAAGAAAGAAAGGAAAGAAAGAAAAAAGAAAGAAAGAAAGAAAAAAGAAAGAAAGAGAAAGAAAGAGAAAGAAAGAAAGAAAGAAAGAAAGAAAGAAAGAAAGAAAGAAAGAAAGAAAGAAAGAAAGAAAGAAAAGTGAGGCAGTCAACAACTCCTTACTGAGTGTCCACAGTGGTATAGAGCCTTCTGGTAGATACTCAGACAAAGAGCAATGGTTGATTGTGGTCCCTCCCAAAGGACCCAGTAATATGATCCGCTGGCAAAGGCTATGCGCAGAAACATCAAACATCAAACAACAGGAGGTAGGCAGCTGCGGGTGGTTGGGGCAGGAGAGAGTATCAAGGACAGGTGAGAGGCAAAGTGCAGCTCATGCATGTTCCAAGACTCCAGTGGCACATCCTGCTGGAGGCTCATGCATATGTTGACTATGCTTTTATTTGTGCCATTCCCTTCACCCTTGTGCTCTTCCTCAGTCCTGATTAGACTGTGCTCAGGCCATCATTTTTCATGGGAAGCATTTCCTTCTAGCTCATTTCTTCTCTATGCCTCCATAGTACTGTGAACCCATATTTATCATAACAGTTGTTATGTTGGATTGTAGCCTTTAATGGAAGGCAGAATTGTTGTATGATTAAAAACCCAGGGTGGAGCAAGACTACCTGGGTTTGAATCCCAATCCACTTCCAGCTAGCTATGTTTACCTTGGGCAAATTATTAAACTCTCCATTATATCTTTCAAACAGAAATTTCAATTAGCACCTACTTCATAGGGTTGTCCAGAGAAGCATATTAATTAATTAAAATGTTTCAGATACTTCAGACTGTGCCTGACATATAGCAATATTCAGTAAAATGTTAGCTTCTAGAGAGTGCAGCCTACAATTCCAAAGCATCTTCTCTAGGTCAAGTGCTGTGCTGAGACACATTTATGTATGTCATCTCATTGTTCTTCTCAACAACCTTGCAAGGTAAGTAGTATTTAATCAATGTTTCCCTTGAAATGGAAGCTTAATAGGATTTTTAAATGGTAAGCATTCAAGCTTCTTTCACTTATATTTAAGTGAAATAGGGTTAATAATGTCTATTTTAGAGTTGTGAGAATTAAGTGAGAACGTGTATAATTAAGTAGAAGAAATAAAAGCTGAGATGAGTATTTTAAATGACCTGTAACTTGGTATTACTTGGATAGGTTGCTTCAAATTCAAGTGTACATAAGGCCCTATAGGTGTAATGATGAGTATAAATATCCCCTGCCCTCGAAGAGCCCATGGTCTAGTGGACTGTTGCAGTGGCTTGAAGGCAACGACTAGGTCTCATTCATCTCAGAACTCAACCCAACTACACAATGCCTGGTACAGAGTGAGTGCTCAATGGTGGGCTCTTGCACTGCTTCCTGACTGATTCCAAATGGCCCTTTCTCCACTTCTCCGCAGGTTCAGGAGACACAGGGAATAAAGGGAATGGGACAGACATATCTAGTGGATGGCCTCATATACACTCTGGATCAATGGTGATTATAATAAATGTTAAAATAGAAATCCTAGTAGAGTAATATAGAAGCATGGTGAAGAAGAAAGTAAATCTAATTGGTTAGATTAGAGAAGGCTTCCTGAAAAAGTAAGATCTGAACTGAGTCTTGAAGGATGGTTATAAATTCATGAGAAAGACATTTGTAAATATAGTAGAAGCAGGTTGAACAAAGTTTTAGGAGTGCCTGACTGTTGGGAAATCTTCAACTGCATTTGGACAAGGTGCTTGGAGAGAACACAGAGCTGAGAAAGAATGTGTCTATAGTGGGAGATTGGGAGAATGGCTCCCATCACTTGGGGCAGTTTCCTCCATTGTCAGATCAACCAGATGACCCTAAAAGCGCTTTCAAGTAAAGTATTATGATTAAAAAATATGATTAAAGAATATTATATATTGACAACATTTTAAATTATTGAAATGTGTTGAGGCTATCATTCACATCAGCATTCACTGGATACTTTGTATCTTTGCAATCTTTCTAAGACATTTCTAGTTGTGCTGCTCATTAGCAACTTCAACTTACTCAAATGGGTGCTATGAATACTATAAAACTAATATTGTTTCTCTTTTTTCCTGGCTAGAGAGCTTAAAGCCAAATTCATGGCCACTTGTAACAGGTGCACAGGATTACATGTTAAAGTTTGTTGACTGATTCCACCACTGTCTTTACTTTACTTTCTTTCTATTATTGTTCCTTTGCCCACCTTTGCTCATTTATCTCATCTTTTTACCTGTATTATTTGTATCTCTTGAAGACACTTCAAATCCTGTTGGAATAGGAATGAGATGGGGTATAAACAAATTATCAACACTATACTCTTTATTGTAGCCCAAGGCTTTCTGCAGAGTCACAACATGTACAGCCTGCAGAAGGAGCCTATGCCTCTCCAGCAGCTCTGTCATCACTCCCAGACTGGAGCTGCAGGTGCGGCAGACATTCTGTAGGTCTGGATGCAATTTGTCACTGCACACATGCTGGAGATGATAAGTTAGAAAGAGTGGGAAGAGTCCGAGGACTAGAACTGAGCCAAACAAATGCTCTGATGGGGGCATGGCCCAGGCCGAAGGCTGACTCTGAGACTGAGACAGGCCTGGAGGAGGCAAGATCAATGCCTTGCATCACTGTCTCCAGGAGGCTGCCCAGTCTAGAGTAGGCACCCCTTCTCTGGGCTCCCAGACCCTTCCAAATTTATCCTTCTTTGTAGCACCTCTAATTACTCTACTCTATGTAGAAGTATGTTACTACGTCTATTTACCAGTATAATTACTTCTCTCTTTTATGTATATAAGAGTCACTAGGAAACACGTAAAATGCAGAATCCCTTGTTCTATTCCAAAAAATTCTGATTTTATGTCTAAGGTGAGGAATCAGCATTTTCAACCAACAGCCCAAGTCATCTGAGGGCAGTCATTCACAGATCCTGGGAAATTCTGTCTGTATTGGACTACTGATAAAGGAACTTTTACCCTATCTCTAAATCTGTAGCACCCAGCAGAGGGTCTGGCTCAGAGTATCATACCTTATTTTACAGACGCTCAAACTAAGGCACAAGAGATTACATTACTTATCCAAAATTACCTGCCTAGAGATTGGAGAAGCCAGATTTAAAACTCAGATTTGACTGACTCCAAAGAGTATGTCCTTCCCACAGTCCTAAGCGAGGAGGTATGATGGTTTACTTCAGTGGTATCTAAGTAGGCTGTGCACTTTCAATGAGGTGTGCAAGATAATCAACTCAGATGTGGAAGGAACGTATTAGAACTTCTATTCACATTTATTTTAATACAGCATTTCTTAATTTTATTTTTGTATGTTTATGGCATACAAGCATAGGTGCAGAGGTGCATGTATGCAATGAATAAATGAATACACATAATGCATAAATAAACATACATATATGGGGTGATTCCTCAAAAACGCCTTACTGATAGGGGCACACAGTCAGAGCCTTTGACGACCACTGGTTTAGCTTTCTTTTATCTGTGATAGTGCCCACACCCATGCACCTTAAAGATGCTGTATGTGGAATGTAACACATCTTTCTGGGACTTCTCAGGAGCCAGAGCAAGAGACGAATGAGCAGAATTACTGCAGGAGGATTAAACACTTCTGCTCAGAGTATGTAGGGCCTGTGCATTTGTCTTCTTGCCTACCAAAGACTGATTGTGATGTACTGGGCTTGCTAGTACATACCTTCATCTGCCACATACCTAGGCCCTGTCCCTCCACATGCTTCCTGGAGGCAGAGGCAAGCAACTCTCTCCAGGGGAGAGTGGCACAAGCCCCTAGGCTCAAGGACAGGATAAAAGCCTTCCTGTCTCTCCCATGATTTCTACTTCATTTATGGCTTAGCTCCATGGAGTTGCTAAAAGAAAGGGTCACGTTTAGAAACCAAATTTACTGAGTAGACAAAGGTAGATTTAGGCAAAAACGTGAATGCTCTGATGACTCAGGATAATGTAGAAAACTGGGTAGTGGTGGGCTCTGCTTAGAAGAAAAAGGGGCTTCTGGGATATGTTTTTCAAGGGCCCTAGCACAGTGAAGAAATGTAGTTGTCAGAAATGAGCTTTTGGAAGGTACTGCTGCTTTAAGAAAACGCAAGGGCTGGGAGCAGTGGCTTATGCCTGTAATCCCAGCACTTTGGGAGGCTGAGACAGATGGATCACCTGAGGTCAGGAGTTTGAGATCAGCCTGGCCAACATGGTGAAACCCCGTCTCTACTGAAAATACAAAAAATTAGCCAGGCGTAGTGGCGGGTGCCTGTAATCCCAGCTACTCAGGAAGCTGACACAGGAGAATCGCTTGAACCTGGGAGGCAGAGGTTGCAGTGAGCTGAGATCACACTATTGCACTCCAGCCTGGGCAACAAAAGTGAAACTCTGAAAAGAAAGAAAGAAAGAAAGAAAGAAAGAAAGAAAGAAAGAAAGAAAGAAAGAAAGAAAGAAAGAAAGAGAGAGAGAGAGAGAGAGAGAGAGAGAGAGAGAGAGGAAGGAAGGAAGGAAGGAAGGAAGGAAGGAAGGAAGGAAGGAAGGAAGGAAGGAAGGAAGGAAGGAAGAGAAAACTGGCAAGGAGAGAAAGCAAGGAAGTAGGGCTTCCTTGGGGTCACTGAGATGGCAGAGGCAGAACCAATGCATACAGTTCTGCACATTGTGCTGTGTGCTGAGTGGGGGCAGTGAAAGGGCAGGAATGGGCTTAAATCCCGCCCACATGCACTCTGTTTGCCAAACTGAGGCCTTGGTGTGGACCTATGTTAGTGAAGAAGGGAGAGATTTTCCTCATTGTCTTCTCAGAGAAGGTCCTTTTTCTAATTGGTCCTGGAGATGGTGAGGTAGGGCTGTTTTTCTAATTTGCACAAAGGTGGAGTATAGGCTACTTAGTGGCCATGAATAGAGGGCCTCACCCTCCGTAATGTGACTCCACATCATGGTTCAAAAATGTTCAGGAAATCTACAAGTATAGCATGCTGGCAACCACTAGATCACCTGTGGAAGCCTGCAAAGGTGGAGTTTTGAGTTCTGATTGGCATATGCTAGGTTCAAGACTAACAGAAGAGCAGATATGTGGGGGTGGAGAGGGGGGGGTCATGAAATTAACTAAGTCAATAACTCACAGAAGTTCTGCGGAAAGCACTAAACCCACACCGACCGTAAAGCAGGTAGGTTTCAGCCAAGTTTATCTCAACCTCTGGGAGAATCCATGAGACTTCTGGATTACTATAGAGCAAACTTGTCCAATCCACAGCCCACGGGCCACATGCTGCCCATAACAGCTTTGAATGTAGCTCAACACAAATTCATAAACTTTCTTAGAACATTGTGAGATTATT
Source organism: Homo sapiens (assembly GCF_000001405.40). NCBI lineage: Eukaryota > Metazoa > Chordata > Mammalia > Primates > Hominidae > Homo > Homo sapiens. The sequence goes on from NC_000001.11 coordinate 58,301,488, forward strand.
TTGCGAATTTTTTTTTTAGCTCATCAGCTATCATTAGTGTTAGTCTATTTTATGTGTGGGCCAAGACAATTCTTCCAGTGCGGCCCAGGGAAGCCAAAAGATTGGACACCCCTGCTGTAGATGCATTGTTTTTCCCTCCTCTCAGTATCTTTAAGACCTTAATTGTCTGTTGATACAAAAGTTTAGAATGGAAAGAGCTCACACAAGGAAACTGAGGCCCGGAGGGATTACTATTCTTTTTGACTCTGGACCCAGATTGCCTTGAGTTCGAATTCTGACTCTGCCTTTTATTAGCTCTGTAACTTTGGACAAAAACGGTTAATCTTACTGTACCTCAGATCCTCATCTGTAAAATAAGAAAAATAAAAGCATCTACCCTATAGGGTTGTGGTAAGAATTCTGTGTATAAGCCTGTCACATAGTAAGCAATATGGAGATATTAGCTCTTATTAGTATTATTATTTTGCCTTCTATGATCTCACTTAATTCTCACCACCACCTTGGGAGCTAAGCAGGGAAGTCTGGCCTCCTCATTTTATAGTTCAGGAACCTGTAGCTTAATGATAGAGAAATTGTGGGGTGAGAGATGGGATCAGGGAATTTGGCTCCCCTGAAACTAAGGGACAGTTTTGAAATTGGTGTACACTTAGACCTTTGATGAGTACAGGTGACATTGAAAATGTCACAAAATTAATCTCTCCTCATTATAAACCATTGCACTAAGACACAGCAGTAGCAAGAAATGAACACATTCTCAGTATAGTCCAAGAAAATCCCTTTTCTCAAGAATGTTGCCTATATAAAGAATGGCCATTAAATGTCAATGAGGGACACTGGATGGTGTTTATGAGCCCTAACTGAGGCCCTGGTTCAGGAACTGGGGCCTTAAGAGAGAGAGAGAGAGGAGTAGAGGGTGGAGGGCAGCAAAGAAACAGAGGGGAAACCTGAGCTGAGCCTGACCCAGAAAACTGCTCATGCAATTTTTCTTTCCATGGGTGGAAAAAATCAATTACAGTGTAAAAATTCCAATACATATTTAAATTTCTCCTATGTGCCAGGCATTGTGCTAGTAACCTATATCAGGGGCTTCTAAGCCAGGCTTCCTGTGTTCATGTATGGACTCTGGACTCAGGCATTTTCTAGCTGTGTGGCTCCAAGAAAATTTCTTAACTTCTCTGAGTCTTCACTTTCTCATCTGTCAAGTGAGACTATAATAATAAAAGTACTTTATAGGGCTGCTGCATTTATTACATTTATATATGTAAAGTGCTTAGAATGAAAGTGACAAGAGTAAATAATCAATAAATATTATTATTGTTGCTATTTTCATTACTATTTTTTTAAATTACTGTTTTTATCTTCACCCTGTAGAGCTTTGGCATCACCCAGACCAGAATTCAAACTACTATTTAATATCTCACTAATTTCAGTTTTTTATGTGTTATGCCAAGTATGTTGTCTGTTTGCATCCAGATCTGTTCCCCACCTTTCCTCTATTCTGCTTTTATCACAGGGGGCTGGTCTCTGCAAACTATATTTTTAAGAATTCCTTACCAACTGGCTTTCAGCTGGACTCAGCCAACAAGAGGAAGACGCTGGAAATTGGAGGCAGGAAGAAGTGGCTCCCTCCTCCCAGGACTCCAGCTTTCATCTGATGCCTTCTACCTCTGTGATCCAACCTCCTTCCAAGCAGCCTCCATCCTGGGTTCCAGTTCCAGCTGGAAGGTCCCTGATCCTGGGCTCTGGGAGCACCATCTCCTCCTCCCTTCCTCAGCCCAGCCATAGAGCTGCTTCCTGCTGTTGCTAATCTTTGGGGAATCTCTGGGGTGCCTCAGTTGACCCCACTTGGTTTTTCAGTACTTCCAACATGTTTATCACCAGTTCAAGGGATTGAATTCCACCTACTGATGGTCCTTCCCAGACCCTGACTGATACAAGTTTAATATGGAGATGAACAGAACAGGTAAGAAAAACCAGGACTTATCCTAAAGAAAGTAGCAAAGAAAGAACTTGGGCTCTCCAGAAGCCAAAATAGGAGCCAAAGCATCATAGCTGAAATCCAAAAGATGATGTCCAAACCAGAGATGCGTGATATGACACCCATACAAGAAATGCATATGGAATCCTATGTCATTCCTTTATAAAGGGAAGTTGGTACTCAAATCTCAAGGCAGGACTGAGCCTCCAGGTGGAGATCAGGGGTTTAGCTTATAAGGAGAAGAGGAAACAAGGCAAGGTCTGAGCAAGAGATTACAGAAAGTTGGGTGTTAACCACATTTTGGCTAATAATTTAATTACACTGTAAATGTCATAGGAGAGCTCACAATTTAAATTCCCCTGTGGGGAATCTTTTTGTTCTGCAAATAATTACCCCCCTAATTTATTTGCTTATGTTTGGGTTTTCATATATTTGGTTTGTTTATTTATTTATTTATTTTTACCCAGGGACAATAGGGCCCAACTCAGCTGGGGATGAACAGTTGCTTTGAATTAAGCACTGTTTGGAATAAACCACAATCAGTTTAGTAAAATTTTGATTATATTAGCCTTGCAAATAGACTTGCCCAGGGTGAGTAGCAATGCATTCTGGATAAGTACGGGGAAAAATTCATGATTCCAGAGCATATAAGGGCGAGAAAGACCCTAGAGCAGTCAGGAATCATATCAAATATTTGATACTCAGGCACTGTTTAGAACATCTTGTCCAAATGCATGCCAAATGTAGCTTTGAAAGCCATCGTTTGTGTAATGGTAATTTCCACTCACTGGTCATGGTTTTACCTGCTGGGACCATGGGAAACAAATTTGCCCCCTAGATGTACTCTGTCTATTTTTAGGTATCTTTGCTCTTAAAACAAAAGTTCCTAATTTCTTCAGCCATTCCTCCTGTGACACTTCTTCTGAAGCAGAGGAATGGTAAATGAGCTACAGTATATACACTAGGTAGAATAATATGTAACCACTAAAATAATCGTTATGAAGTAGGAAGAGAAACTCGTAATGCTCAAAGACAAGAGCAGATTACAAAATTGGAAGGAGGCCATTTCCATATTGCTGAACACTTAGATCCAAATGTGCTTGTGCATTTTCTAATTGTAAAAATAATTTGGCAGCAGTACAGAACATTTATGATATGGAAAGAAGATCTCTAAGTTCGCAAATGACAGTGGCTGTCCATTGCTGCTCTACAGAAAAGCTGTATTAGAATCACCAGAAGCTTGCTAAAATTAGAGATCACAGGACCCCAGCTGACTTACAGAATCTCTGAGAGCCTGGAATCCCTTGTTTCTCACTGTTCCCTGGGGGATTCTGACGCAGCAGGACTGAGAGAACTGCCTATCACAATAACGATGATCATTTCTGTATTCCCTTCCACTCTCTTTTCACATGCATATGTTTATTCAATTATAAGGATAGCATTTACTCAATTTTGGACACAAATGTTTTTATACAACACTAAAAAAAACAGGTGTTCTTTTTTTAATTTTTAATTTTAATTTTAATTTTTTAGTGAGGAGGTCTTGCTATGCTGCCCAGGCTGGAGTGCATTGGCTATTCACAAGTGCAATCATAGCACACTACAGTCTTGAACTCCTGGGCTCAAGTAATCACAGGTGCAATTCACAGGCTATTCACAGGTGCAATTACAGCACACTACAGTCTTGAGCCCCTGGGTTCAAGTAATCCCCCTGCTTCAGCCTCCCAAGTAGCTGGGACTTCAGGTGTGGATAACTGTGCCCTGCAAAAAATAAGTGTTCTTTGAACTGAAATGTCTGCTGAACATAAAAATGTAGGAAAGTCAAGAGGAGAAAATATCTCCCAGAATCACAGCACCCTAACACAACCACTATTAACATTTTGAGATACAATTCTTGCCTGTTTTATAGGAGTCATTTTTATTTTGTTTATTTTTACTGGAATAAGTATGTTGCACATGCAGTACTAAAATCTGTATCTTTCACATTGTGGTAATATTGTTTTTTCTACACTATTACATACTCTTCATAAAATTTGGCCATTGACCTATTATTGTTAGTCATTATTCCAGTTACAAATAATTTTGTGACAAACATCTCTGTGTGTAAAGCATTTCATATTTGAGTATCTCCTTACAATGCATGCAAAGAAATAAAGTTATCAGATCAAAGCATATGAATATTTAAGACTTTCCTTTTTCAAAAAAGATCAAGTCATCATAATTACCAAAAAAGTTCTATCAAGTAGGTCAGCCCATTCCCCAAGCATCTCTGTTTCCGGAATATGTAATTCTAGATTACAAAACTAAACAGATTTTGCTAAAGGAAACATCTCAAAATCACCAATGTGCAAAGAATGCCTTGAACAGGCCACATGGAAAGCTCATTATAAGGCTGAATCTGAGTTGTCCTTGCAGTGGTGCTGTGGTGCTGACATGCAGGGGAAAGCTTCACAATGAGGGTCTTTCCACAGTTCCAGTGAACTCTCAGGCCTGGCAGGGCTGTGACAGGAGCACCCCCCCACCCCCCTCCACACACATTATAGTCCTCCTCCTATGAAGGGAAGAATCAGCCCTTCCAGGGCAGACACACATTGGTCAGGGTTCGCCTGTGTGGGTGATGAGGTGGGAAAAGAGGAGCTGTCTCCCTGACAGAAAGAGAGAAGAACCTCAAGTGAGCACTCATTATTGGAGATCTCAGATTCTCCTGGAGAAATAATGAGTGTCACTGGAGTTCTGTGGGTTCCTTAAGGAGCAAAACAAGCTAGGTTTGATTAGGCTAATTTGACAACAATAGTTCAGTGGGGAAGGAGGAAGGAGGAAAAGGAGAACTGGAAGGGGCAAGGTGAAATTTGGGGGAGGATATTGAAATGTAAGGAAATAATACATTTAAATATCTGACATTTAACAGTATGTTAAATTCACAGAGCATCTTTCCTTGTAAGAATTTGGTTGATAATCACAGGACGCTTTGAGTTGGTAGACAAATGCTGTCCAATTCCTGCGCTGTTTCCCCTCAGCTCACCTCTGCGACCACTTGCATCTATTAGTTTCAAAGATACTAATAGCTTCCCATCTCAAGTCTTTGCATCTCACCATTCCTCTGCCGCAGGGTTTCTCCAGCACCTAGTGGGGGTTGCTTGGCTGCAGAATTGGGAGGATGTTAACACCCCAGAGCCACCTCCACCCAATGGGGAATGAAGGTAAAAGGATCAATACCCCTGCTTCCAGCTCATCTCTAGAGACTGTTTGGAGGCATATTCTACATGGTTTCTTGTAGGATCTCCAGCAGAATCAGGCCCACCTTGTCTGCAGCAGCAGCCCATTATTAATGCCCACAGTATTGACCTGTCTCTCTCCCCTGTCTCACTTTTTTACATACTCCTCCCTTGTATTGTGTAAGACCACTTTCCAAATAAACTATGTAACTCAAGTCCTTGTCGAGGGACATAAATCCTACTTATGGGAGAACCAAACTAAGATAGCAGAAAATTTGTATGCCCATTTGGCAGATTAGAAGACTGAGTTTCAAAGAACTCCAATGACTTTCCCAAGGTAATTGGGTTGTCATGTGGCAACATCAGAACCAAAAGCTGACTCTTCAACTAGTGTTTTCTCTACTCTACAAGGAAGTCTATTTTACAAATCAAACAATAACGTTTTATTGACTCCCTATTAGGCACTATGTGGGGTACTAGGATCTCCAAGCCCAGTAAAAAAGAAAGAAAATTACTCACCATAAGGCAATGTCTTAAAAGTAGCAGTCATCTAGTTCTGTTCCATTAGTTACTATCAGCATTTATTTAGGGCCTACTGCATGCCAGGCAGTCTGTTAGACACTGAAAGCCTGAAGATGAGTGAAACTTGGCCCCTGCCCTTCAGAAGTTTAGAATCTAGTAGTGAAAACGGAGAGGTGAGAGAGGTCGACAGACATAGACACACTTTCCAATAAAAGGGATAACTGAGAAAACAGGCATAGAGTTATACAGAAACAGAGAGGACTGATATCTAACTCAGGCTGGGGGACTGGTGTCAGAATTTCTTGGAGGAGATTCATTCTTTCATGCATGCAACCAATATTCCCTGAGTTTCTACTAGATTCCAGGTGGCACGCCAGGAGCCTGGATTACACTGGTGAATCATCCAGCTGTAGTCCCTGTCTCAGGCCAGAGCTAAGTCTTGGAAGAAATGCCTGAAAGTTAGCCAGAAAGAGAGTGGGGAAAGGTCTTCCAGATGGAGGGAAGAAGCATATGCAGAGCCTGGGAAGCATCAGCAGCATTTTGGGGGTGAAGTGAGTGCTGTGGGGAGTGGGGGTGGAGGAGGGGAGGAATAGCATTGCTAGAGCATAAATACCCAGGAAAGGGGGCCAGGAAATGAGCTGCAGACTTGGCCAGGGACCACATCAGAGTAGAGCTTAAGCTAACAAAGTGCTATAGGAACATGAAGAAAGGAGGATGGATAATTCTTTGGGGACACAGGAGGCCATCACGGAGAGGTCCACAGAGGCAATGGCACTGGAGCGAGAGACCTTGAAGAACATGAGAAATTTACCCCCATGTAGAAGGAGAAAGGAGACTCTAGAAAAATTCAGCTTATTCTGCAGTGCAAATTCTGTTCACTGTGCATACAGAGTGACATTTCAGTGAATTTTCTTCCAGGAAACACATTGCTCCAGGGTGAGATTCAGGGCTGCCACATATAGTTGTGCAGAACCCAGTCCACATAGCTAAACACAGTGGCCTTCACATGTTTGGAGATTGCTGGGAAGGCCTGACCTCAAAAGGGATGCCCTCACATCCTTTTATCCAAGCATCTGAAAGCCTTCTCATTAGATATTTACTCCTTTGGATGAAGCTGCTTGCTCTTCAGTGAGTCACTTTAAATGCAAATATTCTGGCTTCCAGGGGATGAGTATGGGGTTGGGGGGAGTGATGTGGGCATGACACCTGACACCACAACCCTGCCTCAATGGATCAGAGGCCTAGAGCTAGGACACCCAATTTGTTCTCCGACATTCTCCTCTTTCCTCCTTCCACAGTGGAAGCACCTGTCCCTCCCCTACAGGCTTAAGTAAGTCCTCAGCTCCCAGAATGCATGTGAGTCTCAAGCAGAAAGGGTTTAAGTAGATGCACTTAGCATCCAGCCACTCTGAATGTCTTTAAGGATTCTCTCATTTAGATAACCAGGCTTTAGTTTGCTATACTTAGTCCTCAAATTACTCCTTGCTGGATTCAGCAACCTGCTAGCTAGCTTGGACCAATGTTGCTGCCACTTCGCTCTCCCTCTGTGCAGAAATCACTAGAACACTTGGCTGTGTTCCTTACCCGGTAAAAAACAGCCTCCTTTACTACCTAGAGCTGGACAAAGATCTACTTCCTGCAGTGAGACTCAGGCGCTCCCCATATTCCAAGGTCTACCTGGTCAAATCTCCAGAGAGAAAGATGACGTTTATTCCTTCATTTATTTCACAAGCTTTTATTGATCACCTAAATTGTGCGCAACCTCAAAGAGTAGCTGAAGGATCTTGTGGTCCAATGAGTGAATGAATAATTATGCAATATGAGATGAGAGAGACTGGAATTGAGCTGAAGAAGAAAGAAGAAGAAAAAAGCTTAGCCTTAGAGCCTCTTTGAGCACTGTTTTTCTTAGCTATAAAATGCGGATGATATTGTTTCTTTGTGAAGTATTGTGAGATTTGAGATAATCCTAAGGTAAAGCATGCAGCAGATATAAATGTTCCATACACAAACAATCTCATGGTTTTCCTAAGCTAGGATGAGATGCTGGACAGGCATAATGTGTCAAACAATGGATTATATTACAACATCACTTTCGGAGCCTCAAATGTTTGGTATTTAGCATATTACCCTTCCCATGGGCCGCTTGAATTTTAATAGAGCAACTCTTCTCAACTGTGCCACCACAAACACATTATAGGTATCCCCAGATACTTAACATCTCATTCCTGTAGGTCACTGGAAAGGATGAGGGTTCCAGACGGGTAGGGAATAAGCCTCACTTTGAACTCTTTCTTGGTTTTTATAAATGAGGAAACTAAAGCTCAAACAGACTCAGTAACTTGTCCCAGATACATAACCACAAAAAACTATGGCATATATTCAAATCCAGGTCTGCCAACTACAAGTCCACTGCCTTGTCTTTTTCCTTTGTTACCTTCCATCTTCTAGGCAGGTCCATGAGTGAATCTTGGAATGGGGTAAAGTGAAAATTACCCTGCAATGGCCTTCTTTCCCAATAATAATGAAGACCCTGAAATTGGCCCAGGAGTACTAATGACTGTATTAATAAATGCTCTAAGCATTTTCAGAGATCTGTGTGTGGATGGACAGGAGGAGACCTGGAACTGCTCAGAGAGGTAATATACTTAAAATTACCAGCTCAGCAAAAGTGGAGAAAGGGAAGCTCACACTGGAGACTAATAAAATAAGCAAGTTGTTGAACTGGCAGACAGCTGGAGGAATTTGAATCTTGATGATTCCTGGCCAGATCTTGCTTAATTATTTCCAATATCTTCATTTCAAAAATAATGTGCTTTTTCCCCCAGGACAATTTTGATCAAAGCAATTAGTCAAGTGACTACTTGGCTGATCACTATCAGTCTATTAAAATACACACATGCTCACACATACACACACATGCCCTAAAGAGAATATCACATGGGGCTGGGGTCAGGAGTTTAGCATACAATTTCTGATTCTTCCTTGGGCTTATCCTCTGACCTTGAGGAAAGACCTATGCCATCTCTGAACACCTATTTCTTCACATATAAGTTTTCTTCACATATAATATTTCTTCACATATAAAACAAAAAATATTTGTTTTAATTTAAATTGATACAGAAGAGTATTCGGAATAAAGCTGAAATGTAATGGAAGACATTCAAAAAGATTTTGAAGGAATTTCAACATTTGTGGTCCGCAGAGAACATTATAGGAGAGTATAATGTGTGTAGATTTTTCAATAAGCTGAGTTGTTTGTTGAAAACAAATTCAATTTAGAATTAAAAATTTGAATTTTAGGGCTTTGGCCTTCTCTTGATTCAACAATGCCTTTGCCTGTAGCTCCTTACAACAAATTGTATGCAATGTGTCATTTCCAGATGTCTCTACCCACACTTCTATGGCTGCCAGGTGTCCTGTGCACACAGACTGCCCAGTTGCTCAACCCTGAGTTTAGGCCCATGGGGACTCCGCTTATTGCAAATTAAGAGAGACTCAGGAGACACACTGGCACCTTGCCCACAGGTGTCATTTACCTGTGCTGGTCCTGACCAACAAGTTCAGTTTAGTAAGCTCAATCCTTACATATACCAATATTCACTCGTATAATCATTCCATGACCCCTTGCTGAGTCCTACTATGGATCAGGCATTAGGGGCAAGAGACAGAGGTCAGGTAAAAAGGTAACCTAGGCATCATTCCTGCCAGAGGTGCCCTTCATCTAGCAGAGATGACAGGTGAAAAACACTCCCTCTTTGACCTTAGTAAGACTCCTCTGAGCCCTCTCCCTGAGCAGTCCTCAACTTTGGATCTGTCTCTAGCTTACCGAGCCCAGTTTTAGCAAAGAATCCTGCTAAGTCAGTTTAGCAGGAATCTCCCAATTCTTCATATCTGATCAAGTTCCTCATCCCCCACCCTACATCTAAGTCCTTGGCCTGCCTTTAGCAAGAACTTGTTAAGCCAGTATCTTGATGTCTAATCAAGTTCCTCTTAGTAGTTTTCCAACCACTGACCCCCTCACTCTGTGCATGGGCTATAAATCTTCAGCTGTCTTTGCTTTATTCAAAGAAAGTCCCATTCTATCATGAAGTCTCTCTCCCCTAGTACAGTAGCTCAAATAAGATCTGCCTTGTTTTTAATAAGTGTATAGTGAATAATTTCTCTTTGACAACACTTATTTCCATTCCTTGGGCTCCTAATAAAAATAATACCAGCAGCTAACATTTTACTGAAGATTTGCTTGAGGCCAGGCACTGTGCTAAGAACTTTCCACACTGTGGCAGCTTTAGAGGTCTACCATTCCCAGGCAGTTCTAACCAAAGACTGAGCATGATGGGGATATAGGGCCTGGCCATTTCTACCCAGTGCAGAAATCCTGCCTTGGCAATCTCAGTTTCAGAGCTCCTGGTTGGCCTGGGTGTGACTTTTCAGAGGTAAACCAAGGTCTAGGGTACTTCCTACCCAACCCCCCTTTCTTCCTCTTCTCCTTCCATGGGTGCCAGACTGTATCATGGTCTGCAGTTTCTCCCTGATGACTCCTGCTCCCTGGCCCCTTTATCTTTCATAAGTGCTACCCCAGTAAGTCTCTTGCACTTCTAACTCTGTATTGACATCTGCTTCCTGCAGGGCCTGAACTGATAAATACATATTATATCTTTTAATCTTCACAACAACATTGGGGGGTGGGATGCTCTTATTACACCCATTTTATAGATAAAGAAATTGAAACACACAAAAGTTAGGCAGTTGCTGCATAGTTGATGGCAAAGCAGGGATTCAAACCCAGGTATGGCTTTCTGTAATAAGTGCATTAGCATCTAACCACTTCCATGACCAATGTGAGATAAAGGAAGCAAGAAAAAGCTGCCATCAGACACAAAGTTCCCTGTTGTCACTGGCTGAGAAAGCTGGTGAACTTGCAGATGAGGCCAAGGTGCTACCAAGCAAGCATAATCCCTGCTCGGTGTGTGGCTCTAAGAAAAGAAGACATCCTAAGAGAGCAGGGCGATGCAAAAGGCAGTTCTGATGTTCCCAAAGGGATGGATTCTAATAAATGAAGGGTATTTAAAGGAAAAATGCAGTTTTTCTTCATACATTCTAATAAACCCTGAATTTTAAAGGATATGTCAGAACAATTCGTCATGTAAATGTTTATCAGGCTGCTCCCATGAACCAGATACTAGGATGTGGCAATGAAAAAGACATGCACTGTCCTTTCCCTGTGGGAGCTTCCAAGGTTCACAAGACAGAATAGAAAAGCTTAGGAAGAACTGAGCTTAAGAACGGCCTTCCCTTTCACTGGCTATGAAATCTTGGGCTGATGTTTATCCTTTTGATGCATCCGAAACATTCTGGAACCTGTAAGAACTCGGTCAGAAATGGGAGGTTCAGAATATGCTAAAACTTATAAGTGTGAGAGTCAATGCAAAGGGTGTCATTTGCAACTTTCAGAATAAGAAGAGCCAGGAAGGGACAAGCTCAGTATGTGGAAATGAATAGCAAATGTTTAGAAGCTTGGTAGTTAAGAACATGGACTCTATTCTGGGACTAGCTGGGTTCAGATCCCAGCTGTACTCACTTACTAGTTGTGTGAACTCAGGCAAGTTACTTGACCTACCTGTTCTTGGTTTCCTCATTTTGCAAGATAGCGTTGGCAGTACTACCTAATGAATAGCATTATTATGAAGATTAAAAGAGTTCACAACTTAAAATAAAAGTTAAAAAAAAGAGTTCACAACTATATTGCACTTAGAACAGTGTCTGGCATACAGGAAGTGCAATGTTAAATATTAGCTATCTTTTTTATTTTAACCCTTGGGGCCTATTCTGATTGTGATCCCAGACCCCAGCATTACTACCTCCAAGTCATGACTCCAGTCTTCCCTGCTGTCCACTATGGATTCTTCCAATACTGTCTCTTTAAATTAGGCTGACCCACTCATAGTTTATGCAAATAGAACCCAGTAAGACAGAGCTTTGGACATAAGCCCTGGAGCTTCTGTATTACTCATGGACCCAGCAGAAAACAGATGGCACATTTAATTAGGATAACAGGACTATTTACAAAATTGTAGGGGGAAAATGTGGCACTTTGGGGCTAGTAGTAGGTGGGGCTCCTTGACATCTCTAGGTCTGAAGGGGCAAGAGGGAGGAGTGGTTACCAGAACCCAGCCCATGACAGGGACACAGACCTGTGGCTGACAGATGCAGACATCCCACAATGGCCTAAAGGGATGGCAGAGAACCAATCCTGTAACCTTCTTCTCCTCAACTCTCTCCCTCCAGTCTCCTGTCTCTCCCCACCATTGGCTGAATTCATCCAGAAGCCAGAGGATAAGACATTCATTTACTCCCAGTGTTTCTTTGCCTCTCCAGGGACAGAACAGGATGAAGAATAGAAAACAGTAGATCTGGAGTGGCTAACAAAAGTAACCCGGTGTGTCAGTTGGTTTAGGCTGCCATAACAAAATACCATACCCTGGGTGGCTTAAGCAGCCGACATTTATTTCTTACAATTCTGGAAGTTGGAAGTCCAAGATGTGTGTGCCAGTGGGATTGGTTCCTGGTTAGGGCCCTCTTCTTGGTTTACAGGTGGCCATCCTCTCATTGTATCTTCATGTGTGTGTGTGTGTGTGTGTGTGTGTGTGTGTGTGTGAGAGAGAGAGAGAGAGAGAGAGATAAAGGCACTAATGACCTACTCACCTCCATCCCAAGTCCTCACCTCCAAGAATCATCACATTGGAGATTAGGATTTTAACATATGAATTTGGTGGGTACCCAAGCATTCAGTCCACAGCACATAGCATGAATTCTAACCTAATATCATAATTTTTCTTTGCCTCAGTCTCCTTTCTTGAATTTTTATGGTTCCTGATTATCTGGTTATTGCTCAGTCCTGGACTTAATCTCACTCCATGGACCTGACTGAAGATTGGACCCTCTGGTTGTGTTTAGGGCAATATCTTTTAGATATGGGGGTCTGTTCTAACCTATCCCAGAAACCTTTGTCTCATGCCCATACAACAGGCCCCAGGACACACTCCAAGCAAGTCACAAGCCATGTTGTCTGGTCTGTTCTTGTTCTGATCTACCTGATTCCAAAAGCCTGATCCTGTTCTATGGCCTTGACAACTTCCTTCAGTCCTTTTTGGGTCCTTTCTGTTTATTCAGTTGGCCATGCATCTGGCTTTAGGTACTGGCCCCATCTAATTCCTGAAACTCTTTTGGATTCTCTGGTTTTTGCGCCCTCTTTTTATTTCAGGTGGAAGCTCCCCATGACCTTGATCCTCCCTCAAGATCTAGACTTGATATTTTGTACTTACGATTGAGTCGTATTTACTCACTCTCCCAGCAAGTGACGCCCCCATTGCCTCATCTCACTGGATCTTCATAATAATTGTAGGAGGTATGTGTTATTCTTGCTCCATTTTAGCAAACTGACTCTCAGTAAAGTGAAGTGATTTGCCAAATAACACACAGCTGGTGACTACTGGCACTAGGTTACCTTCTTTATATAGATTATCTCACCAAAATCTAAGCTCCATGACAACAGAGATTTTTTGTCTGTTTTGTTCACAACATTTTCTCCAATGTTTAAGAGTGTCTATCATAACAGGAGCTCAATAAATGTTTGTTGGATGAATGTTGAGTAAAGGATTTGATTTGATCCCTATCACATCTCCATAAGAGGTGGATTGCTATTTTTCTAATTTTATGGATGAGAAAACTTAGAAGGTTGAGAGTTTAAGTAATTTCCTCCAAACAATGAACATCCAGTGAGACTCTAATGCTACTAAGAATCCAAGCCCATGCTCTAAAATAGTGCTGCTCAAGGTGTGATTCAAGGACCAGAGCTAAACTGTGAATTATTTATTTATGGTTTCTAATAAGTTTAGAAATTGAGGGTGAGCTTTTAGAAATTCTTACAGCAATTTTACATCGCTCTATTTCCCAGCCTGTGACCAGTAGCCTTGTCTCATTGCACAGGATACTAACTAGTAAGGGTGCTTTTGAATTCACAGAGATGAGCTGACAATGGTATGAAGCACATACTGGCAGTAGGACCATGTATTAATCTTTGGCTGATTAGAAATAAAAGAGGAATCTAGGCCATCACTACAGAAAATTTGAGAAGCATTGCTCCAACTTACTCCATTTGTGCCAAATTCCATCACCCCATGCTCCTTCCAGACTCAGCCCACTGCCAAGCACAAGGGGAGTGTGTGTTTTCAGTTTTTGGTTCTTCCTTTCATTTATCCAACAAACATTCCCTGAGCAATTTCTATGTGCCAGACCATGTGTTGGGTGCTGGGGTGCAGGAGGAATATAGCTGATTCTTGGAGGAATTTATACATAGTTTGATATCTGTAGTGTTCATGGTTCTATCTTGGGTAACAAAGAAGTGATTTAAGGAAAAGGCCAATATCTGGAGAGTGAACTGATGAAGTAACTCAGGCTGTCTGTGATGTTCTGGAAATGTACAATTCCTTTATTTGTCACAATGATAGGGCTGCATCCTCAAGATGGGGATGCAAAAGAGATAGGGCATGAACTGACTGACAAAGAGAAGCTGATCTTTATTCTCGTAAATCACGGGAGCATCACTGTGAACTGGCTTATGCTACTTGTACTCAAGATGCTAAGATTCTGACTTTTTCTTTAATATTATCTAAGTAAATCTGAAATGGTGATTCCATAGAGGCTAAACTGGAAAGTCATTGCAAAAGAAAAGAAATAATCAGTTCAATGAAAACAATCAGTCAAAAGCACTAAATCGTCCCCAAAGAGCCAAAGTTTGGAATCAAAAAGACTGTGGTTTAAATCCTAAGTACTACTGCATACTGCCCCTGTGGCCATATGCAAGTAGCTTAACCTCTCTGAGAGGCAAATGCCTTATCTCTAACATGAAGATAGTAATTCTTACTCCCCTGTGCTACAAATTCAATACAGGAACTGTGCTACAGCACTCAATACATGGTTGCAGTTTTTGTTTGTGTTTTGTTGTCATTGTTAGTAATATTAGGTACAAAGCTGGGCAGGAAGATCTGAAGCTGCACACTTACCTGTGTCAAGCAGAGCAGACTGTCTGGGTCTGAATCTTGGCTCTGTTGCTTACTTACTGGCACACAACAGGTGGTATGCAAATATTTATTTAAAATGAACTAAACAAAAAATGGTGGGTTTGATCCAAGCAAGGAAACAGAGTCTAAGTTCATTGATTCAGCACTCATTTACTGAGGTCTATCATGAGCCAGGCTGGGTGCTGGGGACACATAGTGAATAGACCTCAGTCTCTGCCCTTGTGGTGCTCAAATCCAGAGGAGAGGGCAGGCAAGACCACCAGGAACCAACAGAGAGAGAGAAAAAGAGGAGTATGGTGAGTAGTGCTAGGGAGAAGAGGGGGATGCTGATCTGAAGGAGGGATGCTTGTGTTCAGTAACTAAGTGGGCAAGAAGGAAACAACCTTTCAAAGATCAGAGACATGAACAGAGTAGCACCTGGACCACAGCAGCACCCAGTACACTTGTTACCCCTGCTCATTTGCTTATCTGGAGAGTAAATTCCATGAGGTCAGGGGTGTCTGCTTCATTCTCCACTGTCTTCCCAGTACCTCACACTGGCATTGAGTTTATTCTTAACAGCATTTGTAAATGAATGAATAAATATTCCTTCTCAAGAGTTTTTCTATTCTGAGTTGTATGACAATAGCTAGTACATATTTATAATTTTGTTTGTTCCAAGCACTGTTCTAAGTACATTCTGAGAATTATCTAACTTAATCATTACAATGATCCATAACCAATCAGTTCATTCATTAAGAAACTATTGAAAATTCTTCTGTGCTTAGCAATAGTTAGATGCTGCGGAGGGAAGAGAGAGCATTGCCTTTGCCACAGTACTCTTCCATCTGTTCTGTCCAGCTATCTCCCTCACTCCCTTTCTCCCCATGCTTAAGTTGAATGCATCCTTAGAAAATCCAATTAGGTGTCTCCTCTGCCAAGAAGCCTTCCACAATTCCATGGGAGCTGAGTGTTTGGTCTCACCCGCTCTGTGCTCCCTAATGTCCATAATGCCCACATGGCAGGCAGAATGACCCTCAAGATCTCACGCCCTAAGCCTTGGAACATGTGACTGTGATGAGATCTCACTCTCATGACTGCATTATGTTACAAAACACAGGGAGCTTGAAAAAGGGAGATTATCTGGGTGAGCCAGATCTCATCATGTAAAGCCTTAAAAATACAGTTGTGTTCTCAGGCTGGTAGCAGAGGAAGGGGAAGACAGAGAGATTCAACTGGCTTGAAGATGGAAAAAATGGACCACTTGAGAAGAAATGTGGGCAACCTCTAAGAACATTGGTGCCCCCCTGGCTTGACAGCCAGCAAGGAACCAAGGACCACAGATGCAACCCGAAGGAACTGGATTCTGCCAGTGATCTGAACTAGCTTGGAAGTGGATTCTACTTCTGAACCTCCAGATAAGAGCCCAGCCAAGGTGACACCCTGATTTTGCCTGGTGAGTCCCTGAGCAGGGAGCTCCTCTGAGCCTGTCTGGACTGAGAACCTGCAGAAGAACTGTGAGCTAATAAATGAAGGTTGTTTTAAGTTGCTAAATCTGCGGTACTTTGTTACACCACAATAGAAAATGAGCATACCCCTGTATCCTGGCACCCTCTGTATAAACATGTTTCCCCATCTGTATATCTCTCTAGACAGTGAGTTCTGCAAAGTCAGGGACTGTGCTTTGTGTCTCTTGATCTTTAATGAGCAGCACAATGCCTGGCAGAGAGTAGGTTCCCAATAAATATTTGCCCTTGAGCTTAAAGATATTAAAGCAAGGTTAGGGATCCTAGCTGAGCACATAGGAAAAAAGGAGAGAACAATTCAAGTGACCATATGGCCTAATGCTAGATTGTGTGGCTCAGACCATAACTGCCAGAGGAGATTTAAGAGATGAGGAGTTGTGTCCAATTAAGCACCTCCTCACTTCTCACCTCATGCTAACCGCACCTCATTCCTACAAGCAAGTCAGATCTGAGCTGGTACTGGAGGAGACAGATACTCCTGGAGTCCACATGGTTCTTTGAGGCATCACTTGTATGTCTTTGCTGAGGCTGCATCCTGAGTGGACAGCCCACAGATGTTTAGTGTCCAATGACTATGATGAAGCCCAGGAGGGCTTCTTTTAAGTTCATGGACAGGCCTGGTTTACAGAGCTGCCCAGGAAGTGAGGACGGGCTGACTCTAAGAAGGTCATCCTCAAGGATTGTGACTCAGACCCAAGGTGGTGTTCCTGCCCTCCGGGGCATATTCAGGCACATAGAGTCACCAAATGTGAGACCTGTATAGAAGAACACACATTTTACAGATGAGGAAACTGTCCTAGAAGCCAAAAGGGGAATTAAGCTGCCTCTACCTAAAAAGCAAGTTAGTAGGAGAGCTTGGTCTAGAGCCATGGTTTCTGATTCCCTAAGCCAGTACTCTTTCCACCTCCTCACTGCCTCACATCATCTATTTGACTAATGGCCTCAGGCTTGAATTTCTCCCCAGGGAATCCAGATCTTTACTCACCTCGAAATTTAAAAGCTGGAAAGCAGGAAGAATGCATTTTTTAGCTATTCCAAGCATGCATTGTAAATCTTTGTCCCCTTTCCGAGGTGCCGAATGTAACCCCCTCTGCAGCTAACAGACATTTGGCATCTTTCCATGGTGATAACATTGGTTCTAGAAGGACAACTATCCACAGCCAGAGAGCAGATCATTGTGAGATGACCAATTTGCAAGAAAAGGGGGTTTTGGAGGCAGGGATAAGTACTGGGTGTTCATATGAGCCATAGGTATTTGTGAGAGGAATTGAGAAGAGCACATTTCTAGAATTACTGACTGATTATTACCTGTGAACTATAGTGGGGAGTGGTGTGTGGGGAGAAAGAGGGGGCTGGGGGCAGGGAAAGAAATGGCACACTTTGCTTAGATGTCATCTAAGGCCTTTTGAACATGGGTGTCTGAATTCCCCCCTCAAAAATTTGCAAAGGCTCCACATTGCCTACAGAATAAAATCCATAGGTTATATCTTGTATTCATGGCTATTGATATTTTAGTCTCAAATTACTTTTCTGCTTCCTATTTCATTTTCACATTCCTTTTGCATTTGGATGCTTTCACCTACAAATAACAAACCAAACTTGAACTAGCTTTAAAAGGAGAGGTTTTTATAATTATTGTTGTGACTCATGTAATTAATAGACAGAAAAGTGACAGGGACAATTTGAACTGAGGACCCCAAACATTCTCAGGACTCTTCCTTCTCTCTTCTCCACTCCTCTCTGAACAATTCCTTTATTCTTTTCTCTGTCTGCAGAATGACTTCTCTTTATATTACCTTGAGAAAAAGTATGGCTGCCAACAGCTTGTGAGTATTATATATTACATCTTCAGTTGTTGGTAAGTGATTAAAATTCCAAGGAATCAAAATTGATTTGCCCCACTTGGGTCTCACATACTTCATTAGAACAAACTGAGCACAGTGGCCAAGGTCTCTTTGTAAAAGTATAGTGGCTGCCATGGTCATTCTAGGAAAGAAGTGCTGAACAACAGGCGTTGTCCAATAAGTGTCCAATATCTTTCTCCCAACTTGTTGTAACTTTCTCTAATATTTCATTTTTCTTCCATCTGCTGCTCACTAGATCATGACAGCCTCAGTGTCTTGTTCAGGATTTGCTTGGAAACTAGGTGAAGATGTGTATAATAGAGAGCGGGTCACAGAAGACAGGTTTCCATGGCTGAGGAAATTGTTCATTATAGCAATCATTTATTCATTCATTCAACAAGCATTTACTGAGCTCATACTCTTTGCCAAACACCATCCTAGGTATGCTATGGAGAGAGAAATCCACACTCTTCTGCCTGCAAGAAGCTCACATCTTAGTGAAGAACATAGAGTGTGAAGAGACCTTTCTAACATGGCATGAAATGTGCCCTGATAGAGATACACTCAGAATGCAGGAAGACACAGGAAGGACATATGGAAGGGCTTCATGTGGGCAGTGACACAAATTGAATACTGAAAGCCAAGTAAGTTCTGAAAGCATCAGCAGTATGAGTGAGAAACAGTGACTGACTACAGATAATAATCTTACAATTGCCAAGGGCTGAGCTCTTCTGATGTGCGTGGCACTGTGCTATGTGTATACACTCCTTTTCTCATTTAATCTTCACAACTACTCTTTGAGGCAGGCACTATCATTGCCATTTTAGAGATGGAGAAACTGAGACTTCGAGAAATGAAGTGACTTGCCCAAGTTCACAGCATGGTTTAAGTGTCAGTGCTGGGGTTGAAATCCAGACATGTCTGCAACCAAATCACATTCTCAAAGCACCTTCTAGGTTGCCAGTAGCCTATTATGTTTTCCATGAATGAGACTGAGAAAAAGAAACCTGACCTCAACTTCTCTAGGGCCCTTACAATACTAATTATTCAAGGCCTGGTCATGTTGAACATAAGTATACCAGATTGTTAGTCATACCTGTGCCAGTCCTGGACCTTTACTCTTATGTCCATCTTTATGTTTTCTTTGCTTGTTGCTGTATCTCAGAGGATCTGAGACCTGAGACTGTGCTTCCTCCCAGATCCCACATCAGCTGATTTCAGATGGGTTCAGCCAATGGGAGGCAAGAGATCGGAGGAGGAGGAAAGAAAAAAAGCCAGCTCATTCTCCTCCTCCCTCTCTCCTGGAGCAGCATCTTTGGCAGTGATTGAACCTACTTAATAGCTCTGACTCCCACCTGGCAGGCATGCCATAGTTCCAGCTCTGCCCAGGTGACTTAGCCCTTGGCTCTAGTAAGACCACCTCCACTCCCTAGTTTAGGAGTTGTAGTGGCTTCCTGGTGTTACTGATCTCTGAGTCACCTCATCATCCCCTCTTGCCTTCTCAGAGCCTCCATTAACTATGGAGTCAATTCCTTATATTAAATGTCCTCCAATTTATACACTTAGAATACATGTAAATTCTGTTTTCCAGTTTAGATCCTAACTGACATAACTTCCTTCCTCTTTATGCTGCAGCAGTGTCTGGAAAGAGTTCTCTTAATATTCATCATTCGCGAATAGTAACAGCTCCAGTCTGCAGCTCCCAAGGTGATCGACGCAGAAGATGGTGATTTCTGCATTTCCAACTGAGGTACCTGGTTCATCTCACTGGGACTGGTTGGACAGTGGGTGCAGCCCACGGAGGGCAAGCCGAAGCAGGGCGAGGCATCACCTCACCTGGGAAGTGCAAGGGGTCGGGAGATTTCCTTTTCCTAGCCAAGGGAAGCCATGACAAACTGCACCTGGAAAATCGGGACACTCCTGCCCAAATACTGTGCTTTTCCAACAGTCTTACCAAATGGCACACCAGGAGATTATATCCCGTGCCTGGCTTGGTGGGTCCCACGCCCAGGGAGCCTTGCTCACTGCTAGCGCAGTAGTCTGAGATCCACCTGCGAGGCAGCAGCCTGGCCCAGGGAGGGGCATCCACCATTGCTGAGGCTTGAGTAGGTAAACAAAGTGGCTGGGGAAGCTCCAACTGGGCGGAGCCCACTGCAGCTCTGCAAGGCCTGCTGCCTCTGTAGACCCCACCCCTGGGGGCAGGGCATAGCTGAACAAAAGGCAGCAGAAACTTCTACAGACTTAAACGTCCCTGTCTGACAGCTCTGAAGAGAGCAGTGGTTCTCCCAGCATGGTGTTTGAGCTCTGAGAATGGACAGACTGCCTCCTCAAGTAGGTCCCTGACCCCTGTGTAGCCTAACTGGGGGATACCTCCAAGTAGGGGCTGACTGACACTGGCTAGCCATATGTAGAAAGCTGAAACTGGATCCCTTCCTTACACCTTATACAAAATTTAATTCAAGATGGATTAAAGACTTAAATATTAGACCTAAAACCATAAAAACCCTAGAAGAAAACATAGGCAATACCATTCAAGACATAGGCATGGGCAAAGACCTCATGACTAAAACACCAAAAGTAATGGCAACAAAAGCCAAAATAGACAAATGGAATCTAATGAAACTAAAGAGCTGCTGCATAGCAAAAGAAACTACTATCAGAGTGAACAGGCAAGCTACAGAATGGGAGAAAATTTTTGCAATCTACCATCTGACAAAGGGCTAATATCCAGAATCTACAAGGAACTTAAACAAATTTACAAGAAAAAAACAAAAAACCCCATCAAAAAATGGGCAAAGGATATGAACAGACACTTCTCAAAAGAAGACATCTGTGCAGCCAACAGACACATGAAAAAATGCTCATCATCACTGGTCATCAGAGAAATGCAAATCAAAACCACAATGAGATACCATCTCACACCAGTTAGAATGGCGATCATTAAAAAGTCAGGAAACAACAGGTGCTGGAGAGGATGTGGAGAAATAGGAATGCTTTTACAGTTTTGTTGGGAGTGTAAACTAGTTCAACCATTGTGGAAGACAATGTGGCAATTCCTCAAGGATCTAGAACTAGAAATACCATTTGACCCAGTGATCCCATTACTGGGTATATACCCAAAGGATTATAAATCATGCTATTGTAAAGACACATGTACACGTATGTTTATTGCCGCACTATTCACAATAGCAAAGACTTGGAACCAACCCAAATGTCCATCAATGATAGACTGGATTAAGAAAATGTGGCACATATGTACCACGGAATACTATGCAGCCATAAAAAAGAATGAGTTCATGTCCTTTGTAGGGACATGGATGAAGCTGGAAACCATCATTCTGAGCAAACTATCGCAAGGACAGAAAACCAAACACTGCATGTTCTCACTCATAGGTTCGAACAGAATAATGAGAACACTTGGGCACAGGGCGGGGAACATCACACATGCGTTCCTATTGTGGGGTGGGGGGCAGGGGGAGGGATAGCAGTAGGAGAAATACCTAACGTAAATGACGACTTAATGGGTGCAGCACATCAACATGGCACATGTATACCTATGTAACAAACCTGCATGTTGTGCACATGTACCTTAGAACTTAAAGTATAATAATAATAATAATAATAATAATAATAATAAAATATTCATCACTCTCCTTGCTCTTCTCACCATTTGGTATCAGGGTGAGTTTATCACTTCCCCTCAGGTTCTCCTGAAGAATTATAATTTGCTGCTGCCAAAATACTCAACAGTCTGCCTGTAAGTCTGTTCTCTTTTTAGTATTCTGAGTCTTATCTTCGTATCTAGGCAGATCACCAAGAACCTGTGTAGTTGTAAGCTTTAAATTAACTTAGACATCCACGGAAAGGCCTCCTTAAGAGGCATCATAACACCACTCTATTTTGAATAGCCTTTCTCATTCTCCACATTCCCATCAACCAATCAGTGGGATACATTCGACATACTCTCTTTTATTGTCTGTTGAGTACAAGCCATGCACTCTACTAGATGTCTGAGATCTTAAGATAATAAGACTTAGCCGCACTTTGGGAGGCTGAGGTGGCGGCGGGCAGATCATGAGGTCAGGAGATCGAGACCATCCTGGCTAACACGGTGAAACCTCGTCTCTACTAAAAATACAAAAAATTAGCCAGGCGTGGCGGTGGGCGCCTGTAGTCCCAGCTACTCAGGAGGCTGAGGCAGGAGAATGGCGTGAATCTGGGAGGTGGAGCTTGCAGTGAGCCCAGATTGTGCCACTGCACTCCAGCCTGGGCAGCAGAGCAAGACTCCATCTCAAAAAAAAAAAAAAAAAGACTTAGTTACTGCTCTCAGAAAGGTAACCATCAATTAAAAAAAAATTAAAAACAAGGAAAAAGAGTTACATTTCAAAATTTTCTTATGTCTCACTGGTGGTACAAACATGTACCCACCATGTTCCTCATTTTGCCTTGTTTTCCAGGGAGCTCAGAGGTAATCTTAATTGTCAATCACAGTAACCATATTAGCCTACAGAGTTAGTAAATTGTGCCTCTGCCTTCCTCCACAAATATCATCTAATTGTATTATAATAGCCTCGCTGCATATGCTTCTTTAGTGGTAGACCTCCTCAAATGCCTAGAGATACAGTAGATGTTCAGTAAAGGATTACTGAGTTATTGTCCAAATCAGATAGTAATCCAAACCATAACCTAATGCAATTGCTAATCTATTCATAAAAATTATTTGTATGAATATCTTCGGGTCTCAGCTCTTCGAGTTTTTCTCATCATATTAGTTTTGAAAAAGCAGACCCTGTTTCCTGCCACCAATTAAGACATCCCAGTTGCTCTTGAGAAGACTAATCGTCTCACTTTTTATGTCCAACATGGCACTCAGCAATTGGACCCCCATCAGGCCATCCCCAGTTGAGCAAGCATAATTTAAATCACCTTCATCATGCTTGGAAAAGCAGCCATTTTCTGGCCTCTTAATATTCAATCTGGGGAAACAATTTCAACCCAAAGTGTTTTCTTTTTCTTACTGTGCCTTTCTGTTCCAAGACACCTGCCTCTTGGCTGATCATGTCTAAATGTTAAAATGAAGCAACTTAGAGTCCCTTGAAGAAAAGGGATGTGGTTAACTGCTGGGTGTGTTGCCTGTGCACGCTGGGGCCTCCTACAGAATTCAGCTGTTTCAACCTGAGTCTCATCAGAATATATCCCCCTACCTATATATGCACTGTGCAAAAAGAAACTACAGGAGCAGCTGGAATAATTAGAAGATAAGGCAGGCATAGCCAATACCCGGCACAGATGCCACCATTCCACTGTGCTATGGACACCACCAACATGACTAACCAACTTGTTTTTCTTTCCTGCTGAGCCCTAATGTGGCCTGGAATCTTTCTCAACATAATACACCAGGCAGCAGTCGCCAATAGGTCAGACTTGGCATATGAGAGACAGTCAGATATTGTCCTCTCCCTGCTTGTAGCTCTCAGGCTAGAGTCTCTGATTGGACAACTGAATCCTGGGGCCCAGGTGATAAACCCCAAGCCTAAAGGAGCTGATTCACAGGAGACAGGAGAGAAGATTACAGACACTGCACTTCAACTAAGTCTCCTCTTTAAGGAGAATGGTTTACCCCATGGGGGCTGTGTGCTCTTTGACTTTTATCATTTTTTAAAATCAGAGCTAGTATTTCTTTGTAATTATTTTTTCTGTTCTGATTTTACCTTTCTCTTAGACTTTAGACCTAACCACTTACTACTGCATAACCTTGAATGAACCTCCTTACCTCTCTAAACCAGGGGTTCCTCATCTTTAAGAATATGCAATTTTCCATAGGCTTATTGAAATTATAAAACAATATAATTTATGCAAATTGATATAGTACAGAAATTAGCAGCATAAACTTTGGAGCCAGAAGCATATTAAGTATATTAAGCTTTGATCTGCCCATTTCTATTTATAAGACTTGAGGAAATTTCTTAACTTCTTAGGGCCTCAGTTTTCTCATTAAGAAAAAAATAATAACAATATTATTACCAACTTCATGGGACCATTCTAAAGATTAAATCAGTGCTGTATGTAAAGGACTTAACATAAGCACATGAAAAATACTCTATAAATATTTGTTGCTGTGATTCTTTTGAGACCTGGCTTGTAGCAAGCACATACCAAATTTTAGTTTCCTTTGTTTAATTCCATTTAAAAATAATCTTATCTCACCTTTTACCTTTTAGGATTAAAGTGAGAGGTGAAGCTTTATTGATCCAAGTGGAAGTAAAAACCTGGCTGTGAGAGAAGAGATGGTATCACCCTCTGAGGCTCCCATGGTTGCAGCAGACTTCAGATATGGACTCTGCCACTCGGCCACCCCACCCTGCTCCACCCCTCCCTCTGGAGGTGGCAGGCCTATTTGGCTAAGGAAATCTACTCCTTCACGTGTCTCCAGGGGACAATGTATTCAGCTTCGTAATTACGTGCTTCTCCCCAATCACGTAGCATTATACACCACATCACCACACTGCTGAAAAAAGCCCCAAATGCTAATTAGTCCTCAAATTATCATTGATTTGATTTGATGTTGAACAAGCTTTGCCATTTATATTTAGGCAAGAACTTCAGATTCAAGATGCTCTCTTTCAGATTGCGATTTTTAAATAACTCAGTGGGGCCTGTCTTGCTTGTTCAGTGTGTTTATGTCAAGAAATCAGACTGGCTGCTCTCCCTGGCTGCAGATGAATGCCAGGTTGATTGAGTGCAGGAGAGGAATTATCCTCTCGGCCAGAGCTCAAAGCCTGGGACCCCCTGAATGCAGAAACCCCCATCGTGCAGGAGGACTTGAGGAGGAGAAAGATGAAGGAAGGAGTGGAAGAAGACGGTCTGGAATTGCAAACAGATTCCACCTGAAGATGGAGAAACTGTGTTATTGAGTCACATTCAGCAAATGCTTCTTAGTCCTTTCTGAGAGCCAGGCTCTTTCACAGGCATCATCTCCTTTAATTCTGACAGCAACCCAGTGATAACACAGCATTGTTAGTTGTGGAAACCAAGGCCCAGAAACTTGAGGTAATGTCACTGTTCACAGCAGTGAGGGAGAGAAGCTGAAGTTTATATACAGGTCCTCTGACCAGGTCCCCTGAAAGGTGATTTCATGCCTTCTCCTTGGTCACTTATTGTCTTCTGGGTCCGCACTTCCCTGCAGCCCACCTTCCAAACCCCTCAGCCCCTATCCCCATCCCAGACACTCTGCCAGATCCCTGGCAAGTAAGACAATTACAAAAATCCCTCTTGGCTTTGATTTTTAAAGTACTAAATTATGTGTGTGTGTTTTAAAATTTTCCCCATGTGAACCATGCTTTAAAGGGACCATATCACTTTTTAAAGAGAGGGAATAATCTGAAAACCATAAGTATTGAGAATCCCAGAACATAAAATTTTCCCATTACTAACTAGTGCCTATTATTCCTGTCATTTGATTAAAATTTTCCACAATTCCTATGGATAACCTTTTTGAATACATCCTTAATAATCAGTGCTAGGGCAAAATTTCACCAAAGTCTGTATTTATCCTGTTAATTTCCACGTTGAACTTTGTTTGATAAATCAATGTGTACTTTATTGAATTTGACTTTTCTTCCCATGATAATAAATAGAATATGGGGGAAAAAGAAGAAAGGGAGGGAGGAAGGAAGGAAGGAAGAGGAGAAGGAAGAGGAGGAGGCAGGCAATACCAAAGTTCTCAGGCTGTAATGTTATAGAACTGTCAGGCCCAGCCCAAACCCACTCCTGATTAATGATCCCATTCCTACTCTTTCCCAGCAGTGTCAGTGACAAGCAGTGTGGAGCAATGGTTAAGGACAAGGACACCAAAGCCAAATTCTGGAGGTTTAAACCCTGACTCCACTGCTTGCTAGCTGAATGACCTTGGGCAAATTTCTTGATTTCTTTGTGCTTGTTGCTTCTCCCCCTATTTGTAATTAGCTATGGGGATGCGAATAGTACTGCTTCACAGGGTAAGCAGAGAGGCTTCTCAGGGAAGTGACATTTAAGTTAGGCCTTGAGAAATGAGCAAGAGTTGGCCTGGTTAAAAAGAAGGCAGGATTGGGAGGCTGAGGCAAGCAGATCACGAGGTCAGGAGTTCGAGACCAGCCTGGCCAACATAGTGAAACCCTGTCTCTACTAAAAATACAAAAATTAGCCGGGCATGGTCACAGATGAAGAAGAAATAAGCACTATCATATTAGTAAGCAGTCCACATTTGTTAGCTCTCATAGTCATGGAGATAAACCACCCAGATCCCCCTTCAAGGAAAGATTGACATCTCCAGCTGTCAGTTCCTTAGGGTCCCTCCACCTGAGGTCACAGCATTCCATAGGCCTGTCCCCTGGCTGAGTGAGGCAGAGGTGTAAAGATTCAGGTATTTGGGCCTAACGCAGTTCAGCCCTGATGGTCAATGCTTACTCCCGAGCACCCGCTATTTTGGCCAAGGATTTGTCAGGCCTGCATTGCAGCCCAACTTCTCCTTCTGCCCAACCCTGCTTCCTCTCCCTTCCCTTCACATGTGTGGATCCCTAAGAAACATCTTGCACCCTGCAATTCATCCCAACGTGATCTGCTTCTGGAGAACCTAACCTGCCATCGCAGCTCCTATTTTTATGAAAGCCTATCAATTTCGCTTTCTAAGTAGCTCTCAAAGCAGCCCTGCTTCTCCAACCCTACTCCCGTTTTCATAGTTCAGGTCCTCACCATTATATGCCTGGGCTCTAAGCCTCCGCACTGTCCCCTTCCTTTCCCATGAATCCTCTCCAGCAGCATCGGCTTGACTCTGCTTGATCTGCATGGCTGCACTGCAGGCGATGTCAGCTTCTTAAGGGAGCATCCCAGGCCCTTTGCCGCAGCAGCCACACTCCCTGTGCTCCTTCCCTTCTGCCCCCAGGCTGCTCAGGATCCCTCAAAGACTTCATGTGCTTCCTTACTTTGTGCTCAATTTCTGGCCTTTGTTTTTTTCAAGATGGAGTCTTGCTCTGTCACCCAGGCTGGAATACAGTGGAGTAATCTCGGCTCACTGCAACCTCCACCTACCAGGTTCTAGCAATTATCCTGCCTCAGCCTCCCAAGTAGCTGAGATTCCAGGCACCTGCCACCGTGCCTGGCTAATTTTTGTATTTTTGGTAGAGATGGAGTTTCACCATGTTGGCCAGGTTGGTCTCAAACTCCTGACCTCGTGATCTGCCTGCCTCGGCCTCCCAATCCTGCCTTCTTTTTAACCAGGCCAACTCTTGCTTATTTCTCAAGGCCTAACTTAAATGTCGCTTCCTCTGAGAAGCCTCCCTACCCAGGCAGAAATAACCACTCCTCCTTTGTGTAAGCTCTTGTCATTGAATTTAATAAGTAGTGTTGTATGTGCTTGGTTGTTCATGCTATTGTTTCTTCTATTAATCAGTGACCAACTCCAGCTTCTACATACATCTATTTTTAGAAATATATTCTTTGTGTATTTTTCTTACTACAAAAGTAATAGAGGATAAGTGCAGAAAATGTAGATAAGCAAAGGAATAAAATGAAAGTTGCCTATATATCTCAACACTACTAATAACCACTACATGAATTTTTCTGTGTATTCTTCCAGGCTTTTTTCTATACATACATATCTGTCTTGATATATGCATTCTGATTTTTAACCTGATTTCTTAAAATTAATTAAAATTCCAACAGATTTTATTATTTGAATAGTTCATTTACAACATCATTTCCAGGGCAGATAGTTCAGATTTTATTGTGTAAATAGTTCCTTTACAATATCATTTTTAGAGCAGATAGTTTTTAATTTTATAAATGTACCATAACTTATGTAATCTCACTTGTGTTATAGTCATATTTTTATCCAATACCTAACCTAATATCTGAGACATAATGCAGGCATACCTTGTATTATTGTGATTCTCTTTATTGTACTTTGCCATTGTATTTTTTACAAATTGAAAGTCTGTGACAACCCTGTGACAAGCAAGTCTATCAACATTATTTTTCCAACAGCATAAGCTCAGTCAGTGTCTCTGTGTCACATTTTGATAATTCTCACAATATTTCAAATTTTTCATCATTATTTTATGTGTTATGGTGATTTGTAATCAGTATCTTTTGATGTTACTATTGCAACTGTTTTGGGGCACCGTGAATAGCGCCCATTTTTTATGATGAACTTAATCCATAAATATGCGTATTCTGACTGCCCACCACTGGCCATTCCCTATCTCTCTCCCTTTTCTAAGGCCTCCCTATTGCCTGAGACATGCTAATATTGAAATTAGGCCAATTAATAACCTTACAATGGCCTATAAATATTCAAGTGAAAGGAAGTCACATATTTCTCACTTTAAATCAAAAGCTGGAAATGATTAAGATCAGTTAGAAAGGCACATTGAAAGCTGAGATAGTCCAAAAGCTAGGTCTCTTGCACCAAATGATTATCCTACTTGTGAATGCAAAGGAAAAGTTCTTCAAGGAAATTAGAAGTGCCACTCCAGTGCATACATGAATGATGAAAAAGTGAGACAGCTTCAATCCTGATATAGAGAAAGTTTTAGTGGTCTGGCTAAAGGATCAAACAAGCCACAATATTCACTTAAGTCAAAGCCTAATCCAGAGCAAAGCCCCAACTCTTCCTCAATTCTATGAAGGCTGAAAGAAGTAACGAAGCTGCAGAAGAAAAGTTGGATGCTAAAAGTTCACACTGTTTAAGAAAAGAAGTTGTCTCTATAACATAAATGTGCAAGGTGGAGCAGCAAGTGCTGATGTAAAAGCTGCAGCAAGTTCTTCAGAAGATCTAGCTAAGATAATTTATGAAAGTACTAAATAACATATTTTCAATTTAGATGAAATAGCTTTCTATTGGGAGAAAGAAGATGCTATCTAGGACTTTCAGAGATACAGAAGAAAAGTCAATGCCTGGTTTCAAAGCTTCAAAGCACAGGCTAATTATCTTGTTAGGGGCTAATGCAGCTGGTGACTTTAAGTTGAAATCAGTGCTCATTTGGCATCCCAAAAGTCCTAGGGCCTTTAAGAATTATGTTAAATCTACTTTGCCTGTGTTCTAAAAATGGAACAACCAAGTCTGGATGACAGCACATATTTTTACAGCATAGTTTACTGAATAATTTAGGCCCACTATTGAGACTGACTGCTCAGATAAAAGATTCCTTCCAAAATATTGTATTATTGAAAATGCACCTGGTCATTCAACCCTGGGCTCTGATGGAGATATACAAAGAGATGAATGTTGTTTTTATGCCTGCTAACACAACATTCATTCTGCAGTCCATTGATGAAGGAATGATTTTGACTTTCAAGTCTTATTATTTAAGAAATAAATTTCATAAGGCTATAGCTGCCATAGACTGTGATTCCTCTGATGGATCTGGGCAAAGTAAACTGTAAATCTTCTGGAAAGGATTCCCTGTTCTAGATGCCATTAACATCTGTAATTCATGGGAGGAAGGTCAAACTATCAACTTTAACAGGCTGTTGGAAGAAGTTGATTCCAACCCTTATGGATGACTTTGAAAGGTTCAAGACTTTAATGGAGGAAAGAGCTGCAGATGTGATGGAAATTACCAGAAAACTAGAATTAGAAGTGGACCCTAAGGATGAGACTGAATTGTTGCAATCTCATGATAAAACTTTAAGGAATGAAGAATTGCTTCTTGTGGTTTCTTGAGACGGAAAGTATTCCTGGTGAACATGCTATGAACCCTGTGGAAATGACAACAAAGCACTTAGAGTAGTACACAAATTTAGTAGATAAAGCAGGAACAGGGTTTGAGAAGATTGGTCCAATTTTGAGAGAAATTATACTGTGAGTAACATGCTATCAAACAGTATTACATGCTACAGAGAAATATTTCATGATAGAAAGAGTCCACTGATGCAGCAAACTTCATTGTTGTCTTGTTTAAAGAAATTGCCACAACCACCCCAGCCTTCAGCAACCACTACCCTGATCAGTTAGCAGTCATCAACATCAAAGCAAGACCCTCCACTAGCAAAAAGATTAGGATTTGCTGAAGGCTGAGATGATTGCTAACAGTTCTTAACAACAAGTATTTTTAATTTAGGTATGTACGTTTTTTAGAGACAATGCTATTGCACACTTAACAGACTACAGTATAGTGTAAACATAACTTTTATATGCACTGGAAAACACAAAAGTTGTGTGACTTGCTTTGTTGCAGTGGTCTGAAACCGAACTCCAACATCTCCAAGGTATTCCTGTATCTACTCAATAAATGTTTATGGAACGCATCTCTTCCATTTTAAGTGGGGAGAATTAAAACTATTCCTCAAAAACGTACCTTTTGATGCTAACCTCATCTCTTGCCTTTACTGTGAAATATAACACTGTCTATATTCATGGTCTGAACTTCTTCAGCTCCCATTTACTCCCTAATCCATATTGACTGACTCCTGCATCACCCTTCCTCTGTACCATATATGGCTTATACTAAGATTGTCAGTGATCTCGATGTGGCTAACTCCAGTATTTTTTTTGGTCTACATCTTGCCTGATTCTCCCAGAAGTGTTTGTTACTACTGTAGATTCCACCTTCCCTTTTGAAACTCCCCTCCCTGAATTATTTATGACCTCACCTGTTTGTGTTCCTTGTTCCCATCTTGCTTCTCTGCACAGACCTCCTTCCTCTGCCCATTCTTGATATATATTTTTTCATGTTCCCCCAGGTTTCCTTCTTCAGGCAGCGTTTCGCCAAAGCTTTTCTCCATACAGGAATACCTTGGAGATGTTGGAGTTTGGTTTCAGACCACTGCAATAAAGCAAGTCCCACAATTTTTGGGGTTTCCAGTGCACATAAAAGTTATGTCTACACTATAGTAGTCTGTTAAGTGTGCAATAGCATTGTCTCTAAAAACTGTGCATACATAAATTAAAAATACTTGTTGTTAAAAATTGTGAAGAATGCCATCATTCTTCAAAGAATGACCCGTTAGCAACAAGCAGAAATACAACTTGAACAACCTTTGGCCAAAAAGGAGAAGAATTAATTATCCACAGGATCCAAGAAAGGAATGATAATCAAATACAATCAGGACAGAAATATGGCTGGACATGAAGAAAAACTGGCCACAGGACTTGAAAAGGACTTATAATGGCACATGGCAGTGTTCTCTCTCACTCTTTCAGGTTGTCAGCTTTATTTTCTCTCATACTTTCATTCTCAAGGGAGGAAATATGGGATCCTAAATCTGTTTAGCTTATGTCACCCTTTTAAAATTTTATTTATTTATTTATTTATTTTTGAGATGGAGTTTCACTCTTGTCACCCAGGCTGGAGTGCAATGGCACAGTCTCGGCTCACTGCAACCTCTGCTCCCGGGTTCAAGCGATTCTCCTGCCTCAACCTCCCAAATAGCTGGGATTACAGGCGTGTGCCACCATACCCAGCTAACTTTTGTATTTTTAGTAGAGACAGGGGTTCACCATATTGGCTAGGCTGGTCTCGAACTCCAGACCTGTTTATTTTTTTCCCTGCGGAGAGGGGAATTGAAGCAGTCTCCTAGTCCCAGTTCTAAAAACGTAAGGCAGGAGCTCCTATTGGTCAAGCTTAGAGTGTGCGCCCACTCATGGACCAATCAACAGTGGTAGGGGAGGAATCACGTGAGAAGATGGTGGCTCCTGTAGACCATATAGGGGCAGTAGGGGAAAGGGAAAGAAACAGTTCCCAGAAAAAAGGAAAAAAAATTCCTCTATTCCCAGAAAAATGAGAGAGGAGTTGTTAAACAAATAAAATTATAGGTGTCCACTAAAATCTTGATAGAGGATGTTAACAGAAGAGTTATACATGAAGTCTGGAAGAAAAGATGCAAAGAGCGTGAATATGTAAGAATATCTCCAAAACTGAGTGTATGGGTGCACACGCACACTTTTAACTCCTTTTATTCTAATTTCTTGCTCACCAGGGCTAATTTGGCTTGGCAGGATTCAAGAGAAAAAGATCTTCTGAACAGTGGACCAAGTATTTTGTATGCTAAAAAATGTACAGCTCCAATTGTAAGCAAATAACAGCTGGTTTTCACATAAATCTGTTATGAGTTGATCTCAGTTTCCTTGGTATCTAACACAGAGTAAGTTCTCAAAGTCCTTGATGAAAGAATGCATAAAAGAATGCATAAGTGAAGTCCTTCTGAAGTCATTCACTGCTGGCAGAAATAATATTGTCAATCCAAATTTGCACAAGTGAAGACAACCTCTAAACCATGGTGATATCTCCCCATCAGGATATCTAGAGGGGACTTTTGTTATTTGTGCCTTGTGGACCCCATTTTTAAAAATATTTTCTCTTTGTGTGATAGACTGGGTATAGTTTTTCTGAACTACTCTCTCCGTCTCTGTAATAAGATCATATCTTCTCAACCTATTGCCATGTGAGATGCCTGTACAAACCGGGGAAGGAATGTACATCCCTGCCTTACTGACGTTGAGCTTGGCCATGTGACATATCTTGACCAATGGAATATTGGAAATATTAGACACTTGTCATATCCAATCAGGAGTTTTAACTGTGTTTGTATGGCTTGACTTAATCCTTCTCACTCTCACCTCCACCATGACAACAGCATGTCCTAAACATTGGTCACTCTTTTTGTTGGGTTGCAATATTAAATATATATGTATATATATGTATGAGCTGAATCCAGCCCAACTGATCCACGACGTCATGTAACATAAGCAAGAAATAAATATTTGTTGTCCTTAGCCTCTGAGATACTGGGGTTGTTTATTATTGCAACAAAACCTGACTAATACACTCATAAAATAAACCATACATACTGTCATAACTCGTTTTCTCATTTCTTACTTAATCAACTGCCACATAGAGCTACTGACCATCATGGGTTAAGGAGGTGATGATTTGCTAGTGTGGAAAGCTCACAGGCAATAGAGCCTTTGAGCTATTTATCTTATATTATATTACATTATATTATATTATATTATATTATATTATATCATATCATATCATATCATATTATATTATATTATATTGTATTATATAGACTTTGATAACCTCCTGTGGCTTGGATTTATCATCACAAAACTCTGTGAATTCATAAAAATGAGGTTCACATCATTGTGAAGATGAAGGGAAACAATATGTGTGGGATGCCAGCACAGAGTAGTGTATTAGTAAATGATTGTTCAATGAAGGAAGGAAGGAATACGTGAACCAATGAATGAATTTCATATTCTATTCATTCAATCTATGAATATTTATTGAATATTTACTATGCACTAGCACTTCTGGGGAATAGAATGATGAAGAAAATGGACAAAATTTTTATCCTCATGAAGAGTAAGTGCTTATGGGTAAGGCAGAGAACAGCAAAATAAACAAGTAAATATATAATGTAAGGTAGAATAAGTGCTATAAAGAAAACTAAAGCAGGGTAAGTAAGAGAATATCAAATGAAATCATATACGATCAGGAAAGCCCTCTTGAAAGGAACATTTGAGCAAAGACTTGACTAAAATGAGGGTACACGTACAAAAACCAGGAGGAAGAGCATCCCAGGTAGAAGGACTAGCAAAGTCCAAGGCCTTGAGGCAGGAATTTACTTGGAATGGCTGAGAAAAGGCAAGAAGATTTGTGTGGCAAGAGAACAGTAAGAGAGGGAAAAAGAATTAAATGAGGGTGGAGGAGTGGCCTGGGGCCAAAACCTCAGGCAACTTACAGGACTTCAGGTTTTACCCTAAATAGAAAAGTAAGCCCAGGAGAGTTCTGAGCAAAGCAACAGCAGGCTTTCCCTTAAATTTGGAAAGCAGGCTCCATGGAGTGTAGACTGGAGCAAGGCAAGTGGGGGTCACTGCATTGCACAACTCGGTGCTCCACAAATTGCAGTCTTTGCGAATGGTGTCTCTGGGGCAATGCTGTGCACAATGAATGTGGGTGTAGGCATTAGCCTGGAGGCCAGGGTGGAAACGGGGGATAACCAGGAAGCTAGCCATGCAAGGGATTGGTGTTTGGGGGCAGGGTGGAAGTGGAAAGGGGATTGGTGAGAACTGGTTGGATGGGGATTATACTCTGAGGGTAAAGCTGTCGATTCTTGCTGATACACTGGCTATAGGGCGTGAAAAAGAGACAGAGGTCATGGATTACTCCTATTCTGGCCTGAGTAACTGAATGAATTATGGTGCAATTTAGTAGATACGATCCAGTCGGGGAAAGGTGAATTTATGGAGGGTGGGAGGAGAGAATATCAAGGGTTCTGTTTTGGCTGCATTACCTACAAGGTGCTTCACATCTGAATGAACGTGGAAAATAGGCAGATGGAAATGAGTCTGAAAGTCAAAGGAGCTGAAGAAATAAATTTGGTTATAGCACTTAGATGTGTTTAAAGCCATGGAACAGAATAAACCACCCCCCAAGAGGAATGTGGACCAAGAAGAGATCCAAGGTTCACCCCATTTGTCTTTGTGTTTTCCACTGTGACATGCACGGGATCAGGCATGTAGTCAATGTTCAATAAATGATTTTTAAATTGGATGTAAAATCTTTGTACCAGAAGGAAGAATAAGATGCAGATGCAAACATCCAGGACATACCAATTCCCTCAGCATGCTGGGGTCTAGGCTTGCATCTTGTTAATCATCATGGTCATATTCTGTTCTGGCGTTTGAAGGTTTTCTGGGTTCTGATCTCAAAAGAAAGAATTCTATGCTTTGCTGGCATTTGCTTCAGATGTCCTCTTTGAGTACCTAGATTGCTTGATCTGTGAGGTTGAGATGTTTTATTTAAAATAATAATCTTTACAATAGTAATAATAGTAGCTTATGTTTATTGAACACTTATGTTTCAAGAGCTTTCTAAATATCATCCCAAGAAACCAGCAAGATAGGTATTATGATTCCCATTTTGCAATGAGAAAATCAAGTCCATACTACTAATAAGTGGCAGAAATGAAATTAACACTTAACTCTATTTGACTTCAAATTCTAGGCTCTTTTCATATTTTCTAGCTGCAAGACTTCAATCCTTTATCAGAAAATGGTTTAACTGGATGAAGTATTCTTTTTTTTATATTTAGGATAACAATAATAATATCTGCCATTTATTACATGTTTGCTAATAGCTAGGGAAATATCTTAAGCAGTTTTGATGCATTAGCTCATTGGCTCCATTTTACAGATGCAGCCTTTGAAAGTTGGAGGTTAAGTGATTTCTCCAAGGTCATACAACTGATTTAGTAGTAGGATTTAAGCCCAGATCTGGGCCCAACACTTTAGCACTTATTGAATGCAGTGCCTAAAACTTGGAAAATAATAATGCTCAGAACAATAAATAAAAGCAAATGCCAGGTGTGGTGGCTCAAGCAAAGGCCGGGTGCGGTGGCTCACACCTGTAATCCCAGCACTTTGGGAGGCCAAGGCAGCCAACCACCTGAGGTCAGGAGTTTGAGACCAGCCTGGCCAACATGACGAAACCCCATCTCTACTAAAAATACAAAAATTAGCCAGGCGTGGCGATGCGGGCCTGTAATCCCAACTACTCAGGAGACTAAGGCAATAGAATCACTTGAACCCAGGAGGCAGAGGTTGCAATGAGCAGAGATCATGCCACTGCACTCCAGCCTGGTTGACAGAGCGAGACTCTGTCTCAAAGAAAAAAAAAAAAAAAAGCAAAGTAAAAAATAAAATAACATAAATTGGAGTAACGTGGTGGTTAAAAGAAAAAGCAGCTTATATAGTAAATAATTTGTACCAGAATAATAAAGTTTATTTTATAAGCATTTTTCTCTTTTCCAGAAACCCAAGAGGCAGTGCTAAAGTCATTCTTTAATGTTATTTGGAATAAATCATTGGTAGCATAATACAGTGGGGAAGAATTTGTGTTCAAAAACCTATTTTAAATCTTAGCTCTGCCATTACTAGTTCTGTGACCTTGGGTAAACTACTTATGTTTTCTTGACCTTGGCTTCCTCATATGTAAAGTGAGAATAACAGTTTGAGGGAGGATCAAATAATGGAATAAACAGGTAGTACCTTATAAAGAAGTATAAGGGAAACACCTTATAAACTGGAAATCATTATAAAAATACATGTGTATTAATCATATATGAAAATGGACACAATCTCTGTATATAAATGGAGAAAGGGGCATATTAACCCGGAGAGACAGTGGTTTGTCATCATTGCAGTCACATGGTAGGTGTTCAATAAATGTTAAGTTCAGTGAGTATAGAGTTTCAGTCATGCAAAATGAAAAAGTTGTACAGATCTCTTACACAACAATGTGCATATAGTTAACAGTACTATTACGTACACTGCCAAGTTGGTAAGAGGATAAACTTACATGTTTTTTCCACTATATATATATATGAAGAAAAGCTTAGCCAAGAAAAAAAAAATAGCCACTAACATTTGAAGACAACTCTTCATTTCAAAAGTTTGTTTCTAAAAGCCAAAGTCACTCTTGAACACCTGGGGAACACCTTCAGGATTTCACACAAAGCAAACCTTTACTTCAGAAATAAACCTTGATGTTTGAAAATAAAAGACAAAAAGCTGTTTCCTGGGGGCAGAGAGGACTTTTCTCAGCTGCGTGAGAGGCACACAGCAACCTGAGAGCTGCTCCAGCTCCTTCATCTCTGAGTCCCCTCCCTCCTCCTGCTCTCCCTCACCTCTCCTTCCCCTCCCACTTCCACCTCACTCTTCCTCTTCTCTGACCCTGCTGGAGTCCTTCATTCCTCTTGCCCATCCTCATTCCCTTCTCTTTTGCAGCTAGCCTTCATATGGAATTAAGGCATAGATATTCTTCAATGTTTGTGGCATTATTGAATCTTTAAAGGTTTTGGTTCCCTATTATTTAAGAAATTTCAATTATTGATTTCACTAAGTAATTTAAGAGTCTTGAACATTTTATATTCAGCCAGTCATCAAATATTTTCTAGGCCACAACTCAGTCTTCGAATATATCCATGAATAAGACAGACAGTCGTTGCCCTTGTAGAGTTCATGGTTTTGTAGGAGTGACAGAGGAAAAAGGAGGCAACCAAAATCTAGTGTGAACAAACACTTGCACAGGAATGTTCATGCAGCACTATTCACAAGAGCTAAAAGGTGGAAACAACCCAAATGTCCATCAATAGATAACTTCATAAACAAAATGTGGTATATCCATACAATGAAAAATTACTCGACCATAAAAAGGAATAAAGTTCTGATTCATACTGTAACATAGATGAGCCTTGAACATAGTATGCTAACTGAAAGAAGCCAGACACAAAAGGTCACATATTGCACCATTCCATGTGTATGAAATATCCAGAATAGGTAAATCTATAGATACGGAAAGTGAATTGATGGCTGTCAGGTTCAAGGGGTAAAGAGGAATGGGGAGTGACTGCTTAATGGCTACAGAGTTTTCCTTTAGGGTGATGAAAATGCGTTGGAACTACCGAGAAGTAGTATCTGCACATCATTGTGAAAGTCACTGAATCTTACACTTTTAAATGGTGAATTTTATGCTATATGAATTCTATGTAATTTTTTTCATGTGTGGTGTAAAAAGTGCTGTGATGGAGTAACTACAAGACGAAACTTGTTTAGGATAAGATTCATGAAGGAGATGTTCTACAAGATGAGATTTTCATTCATTCAACAAATATTTATCAAACTTTCTCTACATATCAAGCCCTGTTCTAGATCCTGGAAATACAGCAATGAACACAATGTTAATATCATAAGCTCTTATCCTCAAGGAGCTTATATTTGGCAGGGGGAAATGGAAGAAGCAACCAAAAATATAATAAATATTTTTCATATTATGTTACAAGGTGATAAGTGTTATGAAAAAATATAATAGAGTAAGGCTTAGTAAGGGGAGTTCCAGAGGATAGTGGAATATAGAGAAATTATCTAGACAAAGGGGAAAATGTTCAAAGGCTCAGGGGAAAGAGAGTCTGACATTCTCACTAAACTTTGTAAAATTTATTTCTCCTCATATATGGACGATATGATTGCTCACCTTCTGGAGCCAGCTTAATCTTTCTCTTTTTTATTCCTTATCTCAGTTAATTTTAACCTATTGAGCTAAAACTTTAGTGTTATTCTTAGCATGTCCCTATTCTGGAAGACTTTAAGATAATTTTCCAAACAGAAATATTTTAGTTGCTTCTCACTGAAGATTTTGTGACACTATTCAGCTTATTAATACCTCATTTAAAATTAATATTTAAAAATTTAAATACAAGATTTTATGACATCCTGCAATTTTAGGAATGATTAGGCCAATATGTTTTCCACTGAATATTTCTTCAATTTTATAATTTGAGTTAACAGGGAAGAATAGGATTTGCTTTTAGAAATTCTAATCACAGCTAATTTTTCAAGAAGATTTCTACCCCATAAAATAAACCAACATTGATTTTACTAACTCTGCAGTAAAAGTTGTAAAAAATAAGGAGAGAGCTAATCGGCAAAAGAAAGACATCTCAAATCAAATACATTCTGGTGCTTTTCTATACAGACTTTTTATTTTACCCATTTGTCAGAGAATATTAACAGAAAGGATTTCCCAACTCCTGCTATAGCGGTTTTCTTCCTGTCCTTCCTCCAACCCACTCACGAAGTCTTTCTATTGTTCTTTATTAGGTGCTAAAGACATCTGTCCCCGTTACTAGGACAACAGTAGAGTAGCAGGAATGAGGATTAAGAGGGAAATCTTGTCACCCTCATGAGCCGGGCCCCTTAAACAAAGAAGCCTTCAACTGAGAAGTCTCTGGTTTTCAACTTTTATTGGATTCTACCTCCTTTACTCACTCCTCCTGCACTCAATCTTCTGTGAGAGAATGCATATGATGAGGTCATTAGAACAGTAATACAGTAAGAGCCCAAACTCATGAGGGACTGCCACTGTGTTAAGATGGAGCCATGCCTTCTAATAATCAAACTCTCTCCCTCATCTAGAATGGATACCAGGGTCTGAACAAATGTGAGGCTTCTCAACTCCCCAAATCACAATAAGTGGCTGACGTGCTGTGGCTGGGCCTACCCTACATGGAAACACAGACATCAGGCTGTAGGACAGGAATGGCCTAAGACTTGACATTGGACATTGAGTTGGAATTCATATCTGTCCTTATTTCTTAATGTGCTTGTAGTCAAGTCACTTTATCCCAAGGCTTAGATAAGGTGTTCTTGTGTGTGAAATGGAATACATACTTCTCAGCATTGTCTTCCATAAGCAGAAAAACTTGGTACATAGGAGGTGCTAGAAAAGGATAAATGTCGAGAATGTTTGTTGAAATCTCAATGTTTTTCCAGACGGCAGATTCAAAGGGTTGTGTGCTTGAGGGCTATGCTGGTAGAACAGCTGGGTGGATGCCAGTATCTTTTTCTCAATTTCTATCCATACATTCTGGGCTCCCTGTGGACCCAGCTAATGTTAGTGTATTATTCACATAAGCATCATTTATTGGATAAAAACAATGTGCATTAATTTGAAGCAAAAAATAATTAAGAATTGAGGGAGAGGAGAAATGTGTCATATGACAGTCAAGTTTATTTTTTACAACTATTTTCTTATGATTTCCAAAATTAGGCTCATCTCTCTCATAATAGTCTATCAGTTAAAAAGAAAGCATTTCAGAGGTTATCTGCTCTGAAGCCGTAACAGGAGGATGGAAAAACTGTGGCCCAGGAAAGTCGCATGCTTCTCCAAAATTGACACCTACTTAGAAGCAAAACTTGGACTGAAACCCAATAATCTTGATTCCCAGTTTCATGCTCTTTCAATCTACTCTACCACTTATGATAGTGGGAAGCAGAGACTATATTTTAAACTGGAAAGAACCTTGGAGTTTACACAAAACATAAAATTCAGAACCATTTATTAAACATAACATCCTTATGAAGTAGATCGTATCTGCAGTTTACAGATAAGTGGAATACTCAGATGGGCTGAGTAACTTACCTGAGATCACAAAAAGTGGTAGTTGAGATTTGAACCCAGGTAGTCTGACTCGAAATCCCAGGCCTTTAACCACTCCTCAACTATGATTTTAGCAGCTTCTATTACCTACTAATGAAG